>NW_025791776.1:0-208405 GCF_000001405.40 Homo sapiens
TGGCTTCTATACTTTTCAACAACATTCCTCGTGTCTTTATCTTAGGTGTGCCCTTAACTACTTTTTTTTCCAGTTTTATCAAGGTATAATTGACAACAAAAAATTATATATACCTAAGGTGTACAACTTGATGTTTTGATGTTCATATACTTTCTGAAATAATTACCACCATTAAGCTAATTTGTGTATCTATCACCTCACATAGTTACCTTCTTTTTTTAATCATTGTGGTAAGGATGCTTAAGATCAATGTCCAAAACTGAAAGTTGCCTATTCCATCTTTTACTTAAATCAAACCTATACATTTTCCAATGGACATAAAAGCAGTGACATAGCTACTAATTTTGATATCTCCGTTTTCTTTTCTTTTTTTTTTTTTTTTTTGAGATGGAGTCTTGCTCTGTCACCCAGGCTAGAGTGCAGTGGTGTGAACTCGGCTCAGTGAAAGCTCCGCCTCCCGGGTTCACACCACTCTCCTGCCACAGCCTCCCAAGTAGCTGGGACTACAGGCACCCGTCACCACACCCGGCTAATTTTTTGTATTTTTAGTAGAGATGGGTTTTCACCGTGTTAGCCAGGATGGTCTCGATCTCCTGACCTCGTGATCCACCCACCTCAGCCTCCCAAAGTGCTGGGATTACAGATGTGAGCCACCACGCCAGGTCGATATCTCTGTTTTCTTTTGACTGGTGGTTAGCAATACAAACAACAAATGTTAGTTGTTCAAGATAATTTGTCCTTGATATACTCTAGCTGAATGAATAATATTTACCATTTTAAACATTTGTTTATGATTTCTTCTCTCACTTTAGTCTTTAAAATATGGATCTTATATTCTAATTTTTTTATTCTTGACCATGTTCATATGCTTTACTTTTCATCTATATTTCAGACTCAGCCATTCAGTTATTGAAATAATTTCTACTAAATTAAAAAGTTTCTATTGCTTTCTATAAATATTGTATTAGTGGTACCACAAGCTCGCACACACACCCATATACGCACACAACCATATATCATCATCATGATTATCATCGTGCTTGCTAAGTATTGGGTATAAACTGTTATCCTTTAAGAATATCACACCCATGTATTTCAGTACCAGGTGTCTTTCTTGAATACCTTTGATTGTTTGCTGCTTATTCAGATGTTTTCCCATGGTGGTAACATGGTGTGATTTTTACGTCCAAGTGATGTTTTTTTTTTATTAAGAATGTGAGTGTTTCTAGCCACAAATATCGTCTTAGCCAAAGCTGTTATAAAATATGAAAAAAAAATTAGAAAATACTTTGTCTTTGAATTTAAAATATAAAAGTTGATTTATACACTTTCTCCACTTGAAGAAATTTTGATGTAAAATACTAAATTTTTTTCAGACTTATCCAAAGAAAAATCAGAATCATCCATTTGAATCAGACTGTTTGCTAGAAGCATTCACACACTATCAAAATGATGCGATGAGGTTTCATCTTTCTTGCTCAATTTACCAATTTTGTGAACAGCATTTGCCTCATCTTCTAACAGAAGGCTGGAGCTGTTTGTTGCTTGTAGTTGTGGATTTGATAAGAATTAATCTTGTCCATTCGCATTCATTGTTTAATAAAAAATTAACTCTTCCTTTAATAACAAATATGAAGAGATTTTATTGTCCTGTTCATGTTTTATATCTGGTAAGAATAATTTTTTTAAATGTAATATCCTGTTTGCTAATTTCAAGTGAGTCACACTCAGTGAAAGTCTGCTGAATTACTTGGTCTCAAGATTTTTTTAATTTAAGCAGAAATTTCTCTTTGAAGATTTTTCTGTTTCCTTTTAAGCTTTTCATTTCTGAGCTCTGCTTCTATATTTTCTATTTCTACAAAAAAATTGGACTTACATTTATTCTCCATGATTAAAGTAATTCTTTAGTTAATAAAATATAAAATTTCAGATTAAAATATATAAGATGCTACTTGAAATATATAAATATATAATATTTGAATATATTCCCATCAAAAATATAAATTAAATATATGAATATATAAGTACATCAACATAAAAATTTAAATAATAGGGCTGGGCGCAGTGGCTCATACTGATAATCCCAGCACTTTGAAAGGCCAAGGGAGGGGAATCACCTGAGGTCAGGAGTTCAAGACCAGCCTGGCCAACACGGTGAAACCCTATCTCTACCAAAAATACAAAAATTAGCAGGGCACAGTAGCGGGTGGGAGGCTAAAGCAGGAGAATTGCTTGAACATGGGAGGCGGAGGTTGCAGTGAGCCGAGCACTCCAGCCTGGGCAACAAGAGCAAAACTCTGTCTCAAAAAAAAAAATTAAAATAGTATTAATAATTGATGATTTAAAAATATTTTGGCTGGGTGTGATGCCTCATGCCTATAATCCCAGCACTTTGGGAGGCCAAGGCGAGTAGATCACCTGAGGTCAGGAGTCCAAGACCAGCCTGGCCAACATGGCAGAGCTCTATCTCTACTAAAAAATACAAAAATTAGCCAAGCTTGATAGCGGGTACCTGTAATCCCAGCTACTCGGGAGGCTGAGGCAGGGAGAATTGCTTAAACCTGGGAGGCGGAGGTTGCAGTGAGCCAAGATCATGCAACTGCACTCCAGCCTGGGCAATAGTGAGGCTCTGTCTCAAAAAAAAAATTTTTTTCAAATATTTTCCTTAAAAAAAATTGTTTTTCTTCTAGGATAAACTACTTTTTAAAAATTAAAGGTCAAATATAAATTGCATTAATAAGCTCAAACACTGTAAATCAAAGTTATGTTAAATGAAGCTATAGTTATGTAAATTAAATCTTATTAAACATTTTTGTAGAAATAACGCTGTTCACAATTCTCCTGTTGAAACTTTTTGAGCTGCCAGTGTGAAAAATCATTGTCATGCTTCAAACCATGGCAGGGCATCTGCAGGCCCAGCCAAGCACCTCAGCCACCCCCAGCTCCCCACACCACAGAGTCCCGTCCATCTCTGACAGCAGCGGGGCTGTGACTCGCAGCCTCTCCCAGCTTTCAGAGCAACATGAGATGAGGGGAACTTTATCTTGGAGCCCTAACGGTGTCAGCCATGAGGTAATGGGTTTATGGGTTATGGGCCATGCTGTGCCAGTGCGAAGTGGCAGATCCTGAGCAAGAAAAGTACCCATATGTCCCTAAATAAATGTGTGTTCATCTGCGTTTGTTCAATGCCCTCATGCCTGACCCGGGGAGCCCAGCCTCAGTGTACTCCCAACAGAAGCACCTGCAGATGTGACAAGGAATCATGCAGAGTGACAGTCAGGGAGGCATCATTGCAAGAGCTAAAGCCATGTCAACCATCTAGATGTTGTGCATCTATTCCACTAACAATAAAAAGACGAGCCAATTGTTCTGCATTCACGCGTGGAATACTAAACAGCAAAGAAAATTAGAGAACTGGGGCTACGTGCAAAAATGCAAGCGAGTGTCACACCCATGAGGCGAACAAAGAAGCCAGGCATCACATAAAACACTCATCAATTCCATTTACGAAAATCTACTATCGGGTTTAGTGATGGTACCTACCAGGTATCACTTAAGAAAATCCAAGAAGGGGTTATCATAAGAGTCAGGATGTTTGTGGCTTGTAAGGAAGGAGAGTGGAGAGGGCAGTAATGGGGAGAAGGCACAAGGGAGGGCTTTCACGGCGCTGGAAATGTTCTCTTTCTGAATTTGATAAGCAGTTACAGGTTGTTTCATTGCTGTGTTTCACAGTATAATAGGTTACAGTTAACGTTTATGCTTGTGAAGTTTTCTGTATGTGTAGTATTAGACTTCAGAAAAATATTGTTTAAGTGAATTGGTGTATGCAAAAAAGAAAGGAGGGAGAGCAACGTTAGACAATTTAATCATTCATTCAGCAAATATTTATTGGCACTATGGGTAAAGTTGCCCTGAAAACAATGGTCCAGGCCGGGCACAGTGGCTCACACCTGAAATCCCAACACTTTGGGAGGCCAACATAGACAGATCACGAGGTCAGGAGATCAAGACCATCCTGGCTAACACAGTGAAATCATGTCTCTACTAAAAACACAAAAAATTAGCCAGGCCTGGTGGTGGGTGCTGTAATCCCAGCTACTCAGGAGGCTGAGGCAGAGAATTGCTTGAACCCTGGAGGCAGAGGTTACTGTGAGCCAAGATTGTGTCACTGCACTCTAGCCTGGGTGACAGAGCAAGACTCCATCTCAAAAAAAAGAAAGCAAGAACAACAACAATGGTCAGAAACAAGTTCAGTATCTAAGGCCCCTCTCTGTCCTACAAAGCCATCTCAGCCCAGAAGTTGTTCATCTTTAAATAGTCCCCTCACTTCCTCTCTGTGGGGGTCCGTCCCGCAGACCCAGCTGCACAACAGATGAATAATGTACTCAGACACTGATATTCAGTGAAAGAGTGGGCTAGGGGGCCAGGCCGCTGACTGAAAGAGTTGTAGCAGCTGTGGCCCTGACTCGCTGGCCCTGCTGGCATTTATTCAGCACACATTAAATGACAAAAGCTTTGAGTCAACACCACTAGAGTGTAATTAACCTGGTCACCCTCCTCCTGAGAGAGCCACCCTGCCCACAAATGATCAAGGGTTAGTTTTAGGACCACATGAGTAAACAAATTATTTAGATAAACTCCCTTACATTCATTTGTATCTACTTTAAGCTATTTACTTAAGGTAAGAGGATTAGGCTGCTTTCAGCCAGATCTATTACTGAAGTTATGCAACCCCCACAGCCTTCTAAGAAGGTTTGTGTCTATTTCTTATAACTATCTTTAACATTTTTCCCACCAGCCTGCCTGAACTCCCACACCTCTATGCTTGTGATCAGAAATACTGCAAAGAGTAAGAGATGTGAGTCCACACCTTGCAATCTGGATCCTGCTCTTCCCAAGAGCCGGTCAGAATCACGGCTCTCTTCTAACGATAACCCCGAAGAGAAAAGCTAGGGCTGGATCACAGTCATCCACCAGCATCCCTTATTAAATACTCTTCAAATTATTCTCATCTCACTTTTCGAGGGCAGGAGGAGCTTGGAGGTATGCAACTGCCCCCCCCAGAACTGACCTTGGTGCTGAACTTCTTAGAGGAAGAAGAGTGAATTCAGACTCACCAGATCTTCCAAATCTCCCTTTTTCTTAGAAATCTATCTGCTTTGAGTGGCTTTTCTACCATTTGAATTTTGAACTTATTACTTTAGCAGGTGAACATGGGAAAGAAATTTAAAATGCAAATATAAGGAACTCTTTCTCATATTTCCAGTGGGACAAAACACCACACATTAATAAAGTTATCCTTCTAAATCAAATTATGATGGATGGGTTATTTTCTTTCTAATGGACCAAACTTCTTGATAATCCCAAATAGATACCAAGAGCCAGGCTCACATGAATGTTTACTCTATAATCCCCATGATCCTATTACATTCAGGAGACAGAAAGGCTGGTTGGTACCTAACTCAATACACAGGATGTGTGTAGCTGGAATTTATGAACCAGCATCCCGGCAGAGGTGATCAGTCTGGCCGCTGTCAGAGAAGCAGACGTGATGAATTCAAATATTTTAGAATGCCACAGGCTGGCAAGCCACATACATCCTGCTGAGCGAGCTCAGAGGTGAACAACTACCTTCTGATTCTCACAGTGAAACATCACGTACAGTACTTCAGCTCAGAAAACTCCAAATAACTAGAAAACTTACTATAAACAAATTGTACTGAAATCTTAGTAGACTGTGGTATTAGTGATTTTTTTCTTGTAATTCTCAGTATCTTTCTTGATTTCTCTATATCTTTTTACTGCATTTGGAGAACACTTTCAAAGTCCCCTTGTAGCTAATTTAATACCTATGAATTCCCCATGGGTGTTGTAGAAAGACTGTGCAGCTTAGGAGATTAACTACTTTATATTTTATTACAAAGGTATGGGCTCAAAATATATAAAGGCCTTATTATCTGAAGAATACTTTCCCTGTCTAAAACCAGAACATATAATGGGTTATTTTAGAAGAGAAAATTATTATGTTAAAGCATGTCACCACCAATAAAATAACATGTTTAAATGTAATTCAAAGACTAAAGAGTCAAGAAAATTAAAAGAAAGTTCTAATTTCAATACAATATCACACAGTATTTATAGAAAACCCCTTTTAACTGAATGACTATTCACATAATCTTGGATTTCTTTCATTACTGCTCACTAATATTATCCCAATTAGAAGTGCTGTTCTAGCTCTCTTGTATTAGTTAAAACCACTTCTCAGAGGAACTCAAAGTAAATAAGTTTAATTAAAACTAATCTTTCCAATTCCCACTGTGGTAAAAAGGAAGTAGGTATTATGTCTCATTGACATGCAGGAAGGTTCATCCACGAAGGAGCCCCAGGTGAAGACTCTGGTGTTAGTAGGGTGCTGGCTCACAGCATACCAGAGTGTCAAGGTGCCCCCTGGGCTCCCAGTGCTTACCAGTCCTGGGTCAGGGCCCCTCAGTTACATGTTCGCACTTCCTGTCAAACAAGCCTTAACCCCAGTAGTGACTTTCAGATCAACAGGCAGATGAGGGGAGGCTATTGGGCAGGGGTCTCTCAGAACCTCACACGTCCTTAACCAGAGCCCTGAGCACTTGAACCTACTCAATGATATTCAAGGCAAGGTCCAGAGGAGGGAAGGGAAGGGAAAAAGATGGAAGAAGGAGAGAAAGAAGAAGAGGAGGGGAAGGAGGAAAAGAAAAAGGAGACGGGAAGGGAATGGGATGTCTTAGTCCCTTTGGGCTGCTGTAACAAAATATCACAGACTGTGGGGCCACAAGCTACAGAAATGTATTGCTCGCAGTTCTGGAGGATGAGAGTTCAAGATCCAGATTCTGGAAGATTCTATTTCTGGCAAGGGCCTGTTTCCTAATAAACAGCTGTCTTCTCACTGATTCCTCACATGGTGGACAAAAGGGGTGAGGAAGTTCTCTGGGGTGTCTATTATAAGGGCACTAATCCCATTCATGAGAGGCCCACCTTCATGACCTCATCAGCTCCCAAAGCCCCATCTCCCAGCACCATAAACTTGGGGGTGAGGATTTCAATGTATAAATTCTGGAAGTGAAGGAGGGGATGTAAACAGTCAGATCACAGCAGGAGGAGAGATGGTGAGGAGGGAGGGGAGGAGCGGAATAGAGAAGGAAGAGGAGGGGGAGGGGAGAAGCCGTCATTCCATTACCCCTATTTCCAGTAGAGTTCCAAAAGTCCAATCCCAGAAAACCGTTTGCTTAATGGACAATGTGTCTTGTCTCAAAGGAAATAGAGAAATTGTCAATATCTGAGCTTTTTGTTTCTTCAAATTATCATTTACTTAGGTGATAAAATAAATTAATTTTTAAAAACCAGGAATATTTAGGGCTTTTAAAGAGAAATGTGGTTACTCTTGGTATCATATATCAGCTCTTTTAAAAATTATTTTTATGATATACCATACCTAAAGAATGCATAAAACAAAAACCCACAGCTGTAACCAATGTAACCATCATCTGGGTCAAGAAATTGCCAGCACCTCAAGAGGGCCCCCTCATAGCTTATATAAGGTTAAATATTCCAAAGAAAAAACCCTCACATCATCTTCCTCATTGACATAGCATTTCCATGTGAAATTTAGAATCAGTTTGTCAAGTCAAACACACCCTGTTGGATTTTGATAGGGATTTCAGTAACCCGTAGATCAATTTTAAAGAGTTGACATCTTTACAGTATTGAATCTTTCCATCCATAAATATAATAGACCCTTTCATTTGTTGAGTTTTCAAATTTTTCTCATTAATAGTATTCTTCATGAGGTATTACATATATTTTATGTTATTTGTCTTACAATTTTGATGTTTTTCATAGTTTTAAATACTTTTTGAATTTTATTTCTAAAATGTATGTTGCTTCCATGTAGAATTTTTATTTTATGCATTAATTTAGCAGCAAAACTATACTCATTATTAATTCCACCAATTTATTTACTGGCATTTCTTATGCCTCTGGCTCCCCAGGGCATTGGCGTGCTCATCACTGGTGGAGGTGCCAGGGGGAGAAGCTGCAGAGGAGCAGAGTCCCCTGTCAACCTTCACCTGAGAGTGCCCGTGAGCCCCAGTGTCCAAGGCAGGTGTTCACTCTGTGCTTCTCACCCGAAGAAACTCTAATCTCCAGCCAGTCTTCTGACTCATGTGTGTGTAGGTGTGTCCCTGGTGTGGCTAGACATTACTTGCTCATAAGATTACAGGGATCTGGACTTAATTAGCAGATATTGCTGAGGGCTCAAGTATTTAATCAACCTCTAGATATTTTATCCACTGTAACGTGAATGAAGCAAGCAATTATACACGTTGCTTCACAAAGAATGCTTTGGGGAGAGGGGGGTGTGCGCTCTCCATGCAGTTCTGGAGAGGAAGACCTGGGCCACTGAGTAGCAGCCAGCCACAAACTGGTGCAGAACTCAGAGAGAGAGATGAGCCATGAAGAGAGAGAGTCAGAGCCAGGAGCTAGAGGGGTTCCTGCACCAACCCCTGGCCACCCCCTCCCCTCGGCCCACCCAGCACAGGCTACCAGCACCATGCCTTAAACACACGCCTGCTCATGTGAGCCACCAGTTCTGTCCCCATAAAGGTACCCCTTATCTCAAAGATACAGGGTGAGGATCACACAGCTCCCCTCCACAAGACCCTATGGTTTATTAGGAGATGGGGGGCTAGGCAGGCAGTTTCTCACGCTGTAGAACCTCCTTTCCCCAAATCGTGTTTTGTCCCATCAGGGGCCAGGCTCTCCCATATTGGACATTGCTTCCTGAGGTGCCTCCTTAACCACCCCACCTTGACCGCTGGCCTGTCTTGCCTGACCTGGGTCAGCTCTCATGTCACTGCTCCAGTGCAGCATGAAACCACCAGCCCTGGCTCTAACCTCAGTTCCATACTTCTTCTGAGTTCAGGGGTCCCAACTACACCTTCCAGCAAATTCTTCTTCTTTTTCAACCTAGGCTTCTAGTACCCCCTTGCACACTGCTTCTGCAGAGGCAGCTTTCAGGCCCTAAATTTTCCCCAGACTCCATGAGCTGGGACTGAGAGGAGGAAAGTTGAAGCCAGCAAGTTAAGAAGACAGAATAGAGAGAAAAAATCGCTGGCTTTAAGTGGAGACTCCTTGCTGCCCCTTCACTGCACCTTCTGCATTTCTGCAACATAAGCTGACTAGCTCTCACCTTGAGCTCATGCCAGCTTAAATCTTCAAGCTGCATTTACTGTAAATGCACAGCCGCGGTGGATTTCACGCAGAGTGCAATTTCACTATAACTCTATCTACTGTGTTGCAGAATTGTGAATTACTCAGCTTCCCTAATTAAAGAAATTTCCCCTATAAAGCCTTTATTTATATCTTTTCTAGAGTCCTCTGGCATTAACCCAGAAGACAGTGTTAGAATCCAATTTATCAATGTCAAAATATTAGAGTAATAATGAGGTTTGGAAACCTCTGTTGACCCAAAAGTAGACTCCTTCACAGTCAGAAGTGTAATGATTTTTCCTGGATGTGCTTCTGCCGGTGGAGGCGGTGGTTCCCATGTGTTAAAATGAAGTGCTTCTCATGCTTCCACCTGAAGCGCACCCCTTGGCACACAGAGTTTGTGCTTAGGAAAGTTGAAATCATCCAAACAGATCAATGGGGCTCAGCGCCAACATCCTGAATTCTCTCTGCTCCCTCAGAAGCAAACCCAATCACCAACAATAATGCTGACATGTGAGCCTCAGGATTAAATTGCAGGAACACTTCCGGGCAGCCTTTCTAGCAGTTGCTTGCATGCATGGAAGTCCATCCTCTGAGGCTGGCTTTAGTCTGGCTTCTCAGCCAGCACACACTTAAATCTTTCGATTTTCTCAACTGTATCTTGAGAAAGCTTTTTAGAATGGGTTTCTTTTTTACCATTACTTTTTATTCATTAAGTGTGACCAAAACCGTATGACGATAATTAGAAAATAGTGATAATGCAGTGCTGATAATCAAATAAAACATTTAAGGGAAAGGTGTTTCCAGAGTATTCTTGAAAAGACTGCTGCCTTTTTGAGATGAAAGAGATTTGGTGCCACACATTGAAAGCAAAAGTTGAATAGAATTATATTGCTAAAAGGGAAAGTGTGCTTTAAAAGAAGGCAGTCCAGTCTGTTCACTGCAGCTTTCAAACCAATTGTAGTTCAGTAGAACTTTTAATATTTGAATAGCTTATGCCAGACTCAGTTTTAGAAAGGGAAGAGTGTTTAGGGAAACACTTTAATGAGCTACTTAGAAGAAAAGGAAGGCTTTGAGAACATAAATTATCAGCAGATGCAGCACATATGAAAAGAAATTGGGGGTTGGTTTGAGAGAATAAGAGGAAGAAAGAAGGAGCTAACATGGCAGAAGTATGAGAAACAGATTGAAGAAATGGAGAGGGGCTGCTGTGAACAGAACTATCTAAAACTAAGTTTGCATAGCTACAATACTAACTCTACCATGTCTCTGAAAGTTCTGTAAAGTCTTCTACATATTTAAACTCTTAGGTGAGTGATGAATTTCATGTCAGGATCAAAGCCATGCAGATAGAGGATCATACTTGCTCACTGGAAAGATAATTGCTACAGCAGACTAAGTCAGTAGAAGCAGGATCCTGTTGGCCCAAAGGCAACCTTTAGGATGTATGCAGCTGGAGAATTTATTAAAATTTTGGTGAAAGCACTGTTATTCCATGGGGGTGAAATAAGAACTTAAACTCAATCCAGGTTTTTAGGGGGAAAAGTCATCCTAACAGATACATGGGTGAAATGATGATGATTGTGACAATGATGCTCATGATTTTTAACAACAGTGATGATGATGGTGATGGTAATGACGGCGATGATGATGGTGAGATTTAAGATGATGATTATGATGGTAATAGTGATGATGATGATAATGATCGTGATAATGGAGATTATGGTGATGATGGTGATGGTGATAATGGAGATGATGATCATGGTGATAATGGAGATGGTGATGATGACGGTAATGATGGTGATTATGACATTGATAATGGAGGTGATGGCGATGGTAATGATGATGATGGAGATGATAACAATGATGATAATAGAGGTGGTGGTGATGGTAATGATGGTGAGAATGAAGATTATGGTGATGGTGATGATGATGATGGAGATGATGACAATGGAGATGATGGTGATGATGGTGATGACAGTGGTAGTGATGATGATGACAATGATAGTGATGATGATGGTGATGATAATAATAATGAAATAGTGGTGGTGGTGGTGGTGGTGGTGGTGAACATGATAATGATTATAGCTAACATCTTTAAGTGCTTACTATATTCTACATCCATGATACCTTAATTGAGTTATTGAATTGAATCCTTACAATGTATGAGGTTAGCCTATTGCTATTGCCATTTTGTAGGTGAGAATAACAATAGACCTTGTCACCTAGTACCTAGAAAGCTTCTCTGTAAAACCCAGATTGTCCCTGAGTGTGGAGAATTGGAAGTCATCCACAAACAATGAAAGGTCAGTTCACAGTGGGAACATGGCCTTGGAAGTCGAATAGTCAATCCTGGGCATCTGATGCAAGGCCAATTGCTTGCAGACAGGGATTAGAACAGAAAACACTACTAGTGTTAAGTCAGTAATTACATGTAAGAACTGTGTAAGTACACATAGACGAAGCAAAGAAGAGGCAGAAAGAGAGAAAATGGCATAAATGGAGAGGGAGAGGTGACAAGCGGAGAGGTGTCCTGGAGCTGTTTATTCCTAAACAGGAGTAACAGGATGAAAGACCAAAGATAGCCACTGCACATCTACCTGAGTCTCTGCCCTACCCACATCTGCTCCTCATCCTTCTACCTCCCACTTTTCAATCTGTGGAGGGATCTGCCTGCAACTTTCAATAATCTAGTCCACCAATAAGGTGCCAACCACAGCAGAGTTGCCAGGCAAATGCAAGATGCCTAGTTACATCTGGATTCCAGATAAACAAAAAATAACTTTAATAAACACATCTTACACAATTTTGGGAAAAGTTCAAATGTAATTGGGAATCCTATATTTTTATTTGTTAAATCTGGCAATGATGCCCCTTACCAAGACCATATTCTTTCTATTGTCCCACCTCCTTCTCCTGTTCATTAATCTGAGGGAGGGAAGATAAAAGCAAATTCATTGAATATTTCCACAAACTCAGATTCTCAATCATGAGGACTGGAGGAGAAAGACTGGGTCTTGGATGATGAGACCACCTCTAGCTGCCTGTGAGCAGTTCTATGGTGAAGGGTAGCACATGTGCATGGGGCCTGGAGGAGGGATGACCTGACCTTAGATAACCGTCTTTCATTCATTCATTCATTCATTCATTCATACTTCAACAGACAGCTATGAAGTACTGTTGACCCTTGAACAACGTGGATTTGAACCCTGTGGATCCACATCTATGTGAATTTTCTTCTGACTCTGCCATCCCTGGGATAGCAATACTAAGCCCTCCTTTTCTACCTCCTCTTTAGCTCACTCAACATGAAGATAATAAGGACGATGACCCTTTGATGACCCACTTCCACTTAATGAATGGTAAATATTTTTCTTTCTTACGATTTTTTATTAGCAATTTATTTTCTTTAGCTTGCCTTATTGTAAAAATACAGCGTATAACACATATAGTATACAGAATATGTGTTATCTTCTGTTTAAATTATCAGTAAGGTTCCTGGTCAACAGAGGCTATCGGTACTTAAGTTTTGGGGGAATCAAAAGTTATACTCAAATTTTCTACTGCAAGGTAGGTCTGAGTCCCTAACCTCTGCACTGTTCACAGGTCAACTGTGCTCCCTTTGTGCCAGACAGGGGATATGCTGAAAGTAACAACAAAGAAAGTCAATGACTTCGTTAGGATGCCATGGAGTGTTGAAGTCTTGACTCCAAGGACTTCAGAATGTGATCTTATTTGGAAAGAAGGTCCCAACAGAGATAATCAAGGTAAAATCAGGCCTAATGGCCTCAGGGTTTGGGCCCTAACCAATATGTCTGGTGTCCTTAAAACAAGGGGAAACGTGGGCACCATCATACACAGAGAGAAGATGATGTGACAATGCAGAGAGAAGACGGCCATGTGAAGATGGAGGATTAGAGTGCACAGTGTGGAAACAAGCCAAGGGACCTCTGTGGCCAACAGAAACTGGGAGAGGGCCAGGCGTGGTGGCTGATGCCTGTAATCCTAGCACTTTGGGAGGCCGAGGCAGGCAGATGATTTGAGGTCAGGAGTTTGAGACAAGCCTGGCCAACCTGGTGAAACCCCACCTCTACTAAAAATACAAAAATTAGCCAGGCGTGGTGTTGGGCGCCTGTAGTCACAGCTACTCAGGAGGCTAAGGCAGGAGAATCACTTGAACCCAGGAGGCGGAGGCTGCAGTGAGTCGAGATCATGCCATTGCACTCCAGCCTGGGCAACAGAGAGAGGCACAGGACAGATCCTCCCTAGAGTCTTAAGGGAGCCTTAGGGAGAGAGATGGGACAGATCCTCCCCTGAGGGCACCTTCATCTTGGACTTCTGGCCTCCAGAACTGTAGGACCCACCTAATCTATGTTTTGTCACAGTAGCCCTAGGAAATGAATACACACAGTCATCTACTCAAACCCTAAAGGTGGGAAGAATAACGACGGCTGGGCACTATGAAGGGAGGTGTGCAGTGCTACAGGTTCATATCAGAGGGTCTTTCCTGGCCAGGAGACTCAGAGACCTGCCTCTGAGGAAGCCACACTTGCATTGGGAGAGAAGCAAAGCCTGTGGGCAAATAGGCAGAGGAGCTTGGGAGCAGGAGGCCCTGGGAACCCGAGGGGGGCAGGTGATCTGTCCGCATGCAGGCTATGGACATGATTAGTGGCATGAAATCCAGGCCTTGACTCTAATGGTTAGATTTGCCCATCAGCAAAAATCTTCCCAGAGGCAATCCTATGAGGATAAGATCTGTAAATACAGGGCTGATGAGATTAAGGCAACTCCTCAAAATCTCATCAGGAAGCAAGTGATGCAGATGGAACTAATAAAAGATTAAATGCAATCTTGAAACCTGTAATGCATAATGCTGTAATTGCGGAGGCCTTTGGAGAATGATAGGAATATTTTAAACAAAGGAAGGAGAGGGAGGAGTGCATTCATGCCCTTCAGCACTGTCTGGGAGGATGGATGTCCCAATTTTAGAGGTCCCCTCCCAGGTCTTTTTCTGGAAATAGCCCCAGAGTCGAAAAGAACAATGCATCTTGCTACCACAGCACATCGGAAGCATCCCTTCAGAATATCCACTTCTCTTTGCTCCAATTTTATGCTCACTAAGCAACCTTCTGAGTTGTAATTTGGTGTTCTGACTAGGTGATTTTTTTTCCAGGCCCTGAGCCAGGACTATTCTGGGGGCCTGCGTTCAGGCTGTGCAGGGACAAGGCAGATATGAGAAGGCCAGGCTCTGACACCAGGCAGCACCACATGAGCCAGAAAAAAAGGGGGGGTTCAAGACTGGGTCAGCTCAGAAGAGCAGGGGAGTGCAATGTCCCTAGAAGACGGGTCCCTCCAGCCTGGCAGGCAGCACTGGGAGGCTCGGCTGAGCGGCCGATCCATCTTGGGCACGTGTACATGTTCCATGTGTCTTGAGAGAGCAGGCAGAGGAACCCCAGGAGAGGGGAAACCTGATAGAAGGCAAGGCCAATGTCTTCAGTCAAGAAGGATGTGGCTGTTGCAGGGCCCATAGGAATGAGATCATGTAGCATTTGTCCTTCTCGTTTCTTCTTGCACTTGGCATAACATCCTCCAGGGCCATCTACGTTGTTGGATGGAGGATTTTCTTCCTTTTTAAAGCAAAGAGGTAGATCTAGAGTGTTCTCACCACACACACACACACACACACACACACACACACACAGAGAGAGAGAGAGAGAGAGACAAAAGTAACTGTGATGTAATGGACATGTCAATTAGCTTAATTGTGGTGATGTTTTGTAATGTACACATATATCAAAACATCAAGTTGTACACCCTAAATATACACAATTCCTATTTCTTAATTATAACTCAGTAAAGAAGAAAATAAAAGGATGTGGCCAGTGTGTAGCTGGCCCAGAAGGCAACATTGGTCTCTGCCCAGCCCTGTGATACACCTTTGAGGCTGACTCTGTGACACCCCATCCCCCACCGCCAAAGCCTCTCCACCTTTGGTAACCGGAGTATCTGGCCCTGACGCTTGGTATAGACGTGTTTCTTACTTAAAGTTCAGTTAGTGGTGGACACCCATTGAGGATTCGATGAAGAAAGGTGAAAAGTGATTTTGGATTATATTTCTCTGCAGGTTTTCTTGTTTTCCCTTAAGCCAAGGCCCACTGATGTTCACAGTAAGTACACAGGTTGGAAAATATATCATAAATCAGGACAAATTGAGAACTATCCTACAAGACCCAGCCAGAAGACTATCTGATTTACTGAACTTCTTGTCCAATGTTAGAGAAGGTAGTTGTGTCAATTAGTAATATGGTAAATTTAAAATTTGTGGTCACAAACTTGGAAACTCAAAAATGGATGGTTCTAACTCTATAATGGAATTCAGTGGAATTTACACTCTGTTTAGAGCTCTTCATTTACCCAATTCCATGCATCTCATTCAGCCCCATGTCCGTCCTTCCCATGTGATTGACACATTTAGGGAAATTACAAATCATGGTGTCATGGAAGGGGAATGCTTTAGTATGAATATTTTGGGTCCTGGCCAACATCCATGGTGAGAAATTGATTCTACCTGTTCCCTCTTCACCAATGGCAGAAGCATTCTCAAGTGCTCCTAGGACCTCTGATGCTCTCTCCTGGGGGCGCTAAAATCCTCTGATGCTCCTTCCTGGGGGTTCCCACATCCTCTGATTCTCCCTCCCGGGGACTCCCACATCATTTGTCCTCCCTCTTGGGGGCCCCACATCCTCTGATGCTCCCTCCTGGGGGCCCCACATCATTTGTCCTCCCTCTTGGGTGCTCCCACATCCTTTGATGCTCCCTCCTGGGGGACCCACATCCTCTGATGCTCCCTCCTGGGGGCCCCACATCCTCTGATGCTCACTCCTGGGGGCCCCACATCCTCTGATGCTCCCTCCTGGGGGCCCCACATCCTCTGATGCTCACTCCTGGGGGTTCCACATCCTCTGATGCTCCCTTCTGGGGGTTTGACATACTCTGATACTCCCTCCTAGGTGCTCCCATATCCTTTGTTCCTCCTCTGTGGCTGCTCTCACATCCTCTAGTGCTCTTTTGTGGATGCTTCAGGACCTCTGGTTCTCCCTCATGGGTGTTCCCACATCCTCGGGTGCTCCCACATCTTCTAATGCTCCTTTGTGGGTGCTCTCAGTAGCTATTCTCCATCAGCCCCTGTGTCTTTCGTGGGGCAGATGTTGTTCGTGAACTTTCAGGAGCTCCTCTGTGCTCAATTCTGAGATCATGAGAGCCAGGATGGGGGGTGCGGGGAATGCTGTCCCCCGCTCTGCTGAAACCACCTTGTCCAATGGGGGTTGCCCCATATCGATGTGGGAACTGGGCAGTCATTTCCCCCTGCTTTCCCCCTGAGCTCTCTCAGGGGTCCCCTTCAGGGAGAGATGAAGCTACAAGCTGGGGACCACCAGGGTTGCCAGGAGCCACCAGCAGCTGGAGGAGACGAGGAAGGATCCTCCTCTGGAGGCTTTGGAGGGGGCACAACCTTGCTGGCACCTTGACTTCAGACCTCTGGCTTCCAGAATTGTGAGCAAATAAATTTCTGATGTTTACGTCCTGCAGTTTGTAGTAATTCAATGTGACAGCCCAGGAAACTAATATAAGTATATGGTGGTCACCTTTCCCATTCCTCTCAACAGACTTCTGATGTTCAGACATCTCACCCCTCCTCCTCTCTGAAAGTAACAAAAGATAAAATGAATAAGAATGGAAATGGAACCTCTGTAGAGAATGACCCGAGTTTCATGAAGAAGAGCAGCTTAGGTTGAGCAAGCCAACCTGGAGGAGGGGACACCAGCCCTTGCAGACCTATGACATGGTCAGCAAAGCCAAGGATGTCAGGAGGGACCACTCCTGGATGAAGGGGTGAGCAGGAGCGTGGATGGGCTGCAGAGCCCCCAGAGTCCCCAGCCCTTTGTGCTGGCCTAAAGTGCAAAAGGAAGTCAGCTGATCCAGGAGACAGGCAGGGACACCCCTTTTGTTCCAGTTCTCCTGCCTTCTGGTTTCTTCTCATAGAGATTATCTCCTGTTTGTATGTGGGTCCACAGACCCTGGAATACAGCCTGATGCAGAGTAGGTGCTCAGCGAAAGCTATGAAATGAACAGATGGCAAGAAAATTCCTCAGGAAGGAAGGGGCTTCATGAAAATGTCCTCTATGGAGCAAATATTTAAAATTAAGATAAAAGAAGAGCTCAAGATAAATATCATAAAACAACAGCGGGAGTTGGAAAAAATGAAGAAGAGCCAAATAGTAGCAGAGAAGCTGCCCCAGCTATGGAAAAGGAAGTCCCCACAAACAGATAGATGGGCACTGCTGGAAATACACTCAGAGACTGAGAGAGTTTTAAAAGAAAGAAAAGTGAGGTGGAAAGGACTAAATGTTAAAAGATGGCAAGAGTATACCAAAGATTGAAGACAAAGAAAATTCATTCCTCTTAATTGCCAAACTCAAAACTCCACCTCTATCCATATGTGCTCGGTCCCTCTTAATTGCTTCCTCTTCTGGGGAAACAAACGTAACCATGAGTGGACGCCCTAAGCTCCCAGGCCCTGCCCATCGCGTGTTCTCCTCCTGTTGGGAGTGGACACCCCTCCTGGCCACCCATCCCCACCTTCCTCCTGCTCCTGCTGAGCTGGACCTCAGCCTCTCCCACCATCGACTCCACTCCCGGGGGTGGCCAGTGCTGGCCAGCTATGGTGCACTTTGATTTCCCACAAATGTCCTGCCCCTCATGTGTCCGTGGACTGTGCCAGAGAATGAGGTGGGGGAGCAAAGGCCAGGGCTCAGGATGGGGGAGTCAAAGCCCAGGATGGAAACAGGTGGGTGAACAGGAATTTTTTTCACAACAAGGACACATCCAGGGAAGGGAGTCAGGGCCAGCAGCAAGGCTGCTGTGATGTGGCCTCTGGAGATTAGGATGGGGCATCCCCTTATCTCTCCTGTGAAAGGGGCCATATTGGCCTCAGAGCCTGGACAAGCTCGAGCCTACAGGTCAGGATTAATGGGGGTCTTGTCAGTGTATCCTACAACATTCTGGCTTGTAACTCAGTCCCCCTGCATAGGACATGTTTAATCAATGAACCAAAAACTGGGTGATGGGCTAGGGAGCAGGAGGGGACATCTTCAGTGGTGACTTTCCTCCACTGTGCATTGGGAGTTGCTGCCATCTCCTCAGTGGCCTGGAGTCCCTGTCCCCACGGACACATCAGCAAAGGGTCCTGTACCTTGGCCTGGAGCCTCCTGAGAAATAAAGACCAAACGGAAGCCTCGCCTTTTCTTCCACTCTGGAGAAGCTTTTGAGACCCCCAGGAGGGCCTTGGGCTCTAAATTCATTAACTCTGAAAGGGGCCCCAGATCCTAACCCTAATTCCTGCCTCCTGGCCCAAAGGGCCCTTCTGATGCCTTAAGTATGTGGGATCCTGATCCCAAGTACAGTATCTCCCTAAATAAAAGAGCTAATCTACCTTAAAAAGGTTGGCAACTAAGCTGTGCAAGCTTGGAATAGAGATATGCCTCTCCTCCCTCTTACACATGTTTGCCCATCTCCTTGGAGAGGCATGTTGGTTTTGAAAATGTTTGCACTGAGGTCTGTGGGCTGCAGCAAGGCACAGTGCAAGGTGCACACCACTTTCCTCTTGGAGCTCAAAATAGTCAGATACAAGTCTCTCTGTCAGGAAGACTGGCTGCCCTGCCTTCCTCGACCCAGAAAGGGACCATGGCCCAGTAGGCACCTTAGCACCACCCCTGGGTCTGCACTTCTCTCTAACTGCCACTTCTGGGAAAATCTGCCACCCGCTACAGCAGCGGAGACAGGAGATTGGTAAACCAAACCCTGGCATCCCGTGCTTTCAACCCAGATCCCCAGCAAATGTATCCTCTGATAGACAGCTCATTAGTGTCCCCTCCCCTCCCACTCCCCAATCCCCAGGCACATGGAGTCCAAACACCGACCTGCTATGTAGCTAGAAGAAGGAGGAGGAGGAGGAACAGGATGGGGGAGAAGAAGAGGAGGA
The DNA here is from genome assembly GCF_000001405.40 of Homo sapiens. Classification (NCBI taxonomy): domain Eukaryota; kingdom Metazoa; phylum Chordata; class Mammalia; order Primates; family Hominidae; genus Homo; species Homo sapiens. The sequence goes on from NW_025791776.1 coordinate 19,280, forward strand.
GGAGGAGACAAGAGTGAGTAGACAGCTTAGTTTAAAATAATAAAACCACCTAGAGCCCTTTGATTGGTCAGGACTAAGCTATCTCAATATGCAGTAGGAAGCTATGCTTGATCAAATGGTATGAAAAATGGCTCAGCAGCATCTGCAAGGTGGAGCCCTCAGCAATCACAGTTATGGGCTTGCCCAGCCCTCTGCTGACGTGGGCAGCCACTTTCTTAGATTAAAATGTGCTGGTCTGTGGAGAGCAACTGGGTGGGCAGTAACACTGAAGCCTGGCTCTTTTGAATTCTCTGTCCATCCTCCCCTTCTGATTGTGACTCACATACAGAAGTGTGTGGCGAAACAGGCAAAATGCAAGACTGGCACTTTCACGTTTATCTAGAGGCTTTGCATTGGGAGCTTGGCAACTCCATCCTGTGACCCAAGCCAGGGAGCTGTCTAGCCCTGGGAAAGTGGCTGAAGGCTGCATTCTCCTCACCTACTCCAGGATGCTGTGGCATGCCTCTCTAAGCCCAAGGAGAAACAGTGTGTGCAGTGGTGAAGTCATCACTATACTATTATTGTCCTAAACTTACAACCTCTTGATTTATTCCTCCCGCATTCATAGAAAGAATAGAGCAATTTCAATATTGCTATAAATTCTTCTGCTCTCATAGAAGGGTTTAATCAAGCCACTTCCATCTGTTCTTTCTCCCAAGATGGCAACAAAATCATTTTCTGCCTATAAGAAATAACTTTGGAGGAAAGTCCTGGATACATTCAAAATACACCAGAAAGTTCTCAAAGTTAGATTTGTTAGTTTCTGAGATTGTGAGCTGTTCTGAATCCTGCAGTCCTGGCAGAGGGGACCAAATGCTCACCAAGAACCTGAGACTCTCCACACTTCACCAAGCCCGGAGTGCACTCTGCACCAGATTTGATAACTGGCCTCTGGAGAGGGCAGGGTGGGAAGGAATCAGCCCAGGCACTGTAGGCGTTCTGGGGGAACGTTGCTCCATCAAAGAACTGTGGGTGCATGGGGAAAAGTGCTTCTCCTAGAGCTCTCCATCGCAGTCCAGTGAGATGCTCTGAGCAAGGAGTCTGCCTGTGGAGCCCCTCACACCACACCTTCTCTCTCACTCTTGACACCCACAGCGCAGTCAGCACACAATGGCTCTGACATAGGGATAGGGAGGCGGACCTTGGTAAACATACTTCCTTTGGAATTGCATCGCTGTTCTAGACTCAAGGGAGGCCCTGTGTGTGTCTGGATCAAAGCTTATCTTCCTCTAAGACTCCTGTATTTCCTTTTCTATTTAACGAACAACTGGCTGGGCACGGTGGCTCAGGCCTGTAATCCCAACACTTTGGAAGGCCAAGGCTGTTGGATCACTTGAGGTCAGAAGTTCGAGACCAGCCTGGCTAACATGGTGAAACCCTGTCCTACCAAAAATATAAAAAATTAGCCAGGTGTGCTGGTACACACCTGTAATGCCAGCTACTTGGGAGGCTGAGGCAGGAGAATCACTTGAACCCGGGAGGCGAAAGTTGCAATGAGCCGAGATGGTGCCACTGCACTCCAGCCTGGGTGACAGAGTGAGACTCCGTCTCAAAAAAAAAAAAAAAAAAACAAAAAAATCTGCATTCCCTTTGTCCAAGAATATTTCAGCTCTGCTTTACCCCTTGCTATGATCTGAATGTTCATGTGCCTATGTTGAAATTCTAAGCTGCAAGGTGATGGTATTAAGACATGGGGACTTTGGAAGGTGGTTAGGTCATGAGGGTGGAGCTCTTATAAATGGGATTAATGTCCATAAAAGAAGCCCTAGGGAGACCCTCACTGCTTCTGCCCTTGAGAAGACAACCATCTATGAGGAAGTGGGTCCTCACCAGACACCAAGTCTGCCAGCACATTAATTTTGGACTTTCCAGCTTGCAGAACTGTGAGAAAGAAATTTCTGTTGTGTATATGCCACCCAGTCTATGGTATATCATTACAGCAGCCAAGGCTAAGACACATCTAAATGTTACTTATCTAAACAACAATACTTTTCTGGCCAGTGGATGTCAGACAGGAGATGGAACCTGAGCGATCACCTTGGTGCTGAAATGCCTGCTCCACCCTCAACACTCAATGCACACTGGCAGAGAACGGCAAGATGCTGGACACACACACAAAGCAAACACCTCTCGGTATAAAGTGAAGGTTCCAGGAATGAGCTGTCTGCCCGTCTCTCCCTGTGTTTCCTGCCGGCTGCATCACCGGATGTTGGCGGGTATGGAATTGGGAAGGAATGAAAGCGGGGAGGGGATCAGGGCATTGGCAGGACAGGGAAGCAGTGTTCCTTCTTTACTTAGAATGTTCTTTTTTGAGCCAAACCAAAGATGAAAACTTTCTCAGCTCCTGGAGTCCCAAGAGACAAAAATAAAATATTCTAAAGCTGGTCTGTGTCTTCCTTTAGTTACCCAGAACCCACGGGGCCACCTGTGACAGATGGTGGCATTGATCCAGGGTGTAATTGATCAGGTTTGGCAAGAGCAGTAGAAGAAACTGGGATGCTGACAGAAGAGAAGCTTAGATGATTTGCATATACTGCTCTTCCATCATATAGAAGACAAAAGTGAGCCCCCAGTGATTGGGCTCCAGGTGTCTCTTGTTGGGACCCTATGTGGTCTGCTCCTTGCTGGATAACTGCAGTTGCATGGCAGCCCTGCTTCACAAAAATCCAGGGTAAATTGCATTCCTCCTACACGTCATCACACAGAAATACAACCTAAGTAAGCACACATTTTCTAAAACCCTAAAGAGGGCTCACACCTTCTGGATAAGCAACTAATCCTGAGAATGTCACTCACTCTGCTTATTGATAGCCAGTGATTGCCAAGTTTTCTGCCTCCAGAATGGATCAATTCCAGCTGTCTCATGTGTGAGTGCCTTTGCTGACAGTGCTTTTTGTATTAACTAATACATCCTTGGAAAGGGTCCCAAGTGGGAGAAAGAGCATCACACTGACGTGCACCCTCTTAAAATAAATAATCATCAGGAGAGGATTTCATATTAACAATCTGAAAACTCACAGTTTTCAATAGTGTTTCTTCAGTATTCAGGGTCGCTCCTTTTTTCCTTCTTTTATTTTTCCTTCTTCTTTTTTTTATTTTATTTATTTATTTATTGTACAACAAAGTGTCTCACAGATTCTCTATTGCTTAGAGGGAGAAAACATGGCCCTTTTAACACACTGATTTCTTTCATGGCTGTGCAATTTCTTTGCAGTTTATGAATAATTTTTGTCCACAGGTTTTGCAGCAAATATTAGTTACAGTGTAATCAGATGGATAGAGCCAGGGTTAGAAAAACAAATCCTTTCAATTATTTTCACAGCTTCATCACAGACCTTGTGATTTTTCAGCAATCTGTGAGCCTGTATGTCTAAAGGTCAAACTATTCTGAAGCAAAGAAATAGGAAATTCACAAATTCAGAAACTGTTTATGCATTATAGTTGCCTCCCAAATCTAATTGCAGGACTAGATGACTTCTTCCCAAATGCACACAGTCCTTACTTTTTTAATGTGTGGTGTATTCCTCAGCTCAGGCTGCCATAACGAATACCGTAGACTGGATAGCTTCGACAAGAGAAATGCATTTCCTCCGAGTTCAGGGGGCTGGAAGTCTAAGGTCAGGGTGCCAGCGTGGTCAGGTTTTGGGGAGGTTCTTGCAGACAGCCACCTTCTCTCTATGACCCTGCATGGCTTTCCTCCAAGTCTGTGCAGGGAGAGTGCAAAAGATCTCTCTCTCTTCCTCTGCTTATAAGGCCACTAATCCCTGTGGATTGGGACCCCACCCTTATGCCCTCATTTAACTTTAATTACCCTAAAAACTGTATATCCAAATATAGTCAATTTGGAGTTAGGCCTTCAAAATATGAATTTGGGAGGACACAAGTCAGTCCGTAGCAAATGGCCACTTCATGTAACGTCTAGTGCTTTGAGCTGAGTAACTTAAAGCACTGGGCATTATATAACATATAAGCATGTATGTATCTGGAAGGGATGAGAATATAATAGTCATTTGATGGGAATTCCATGGAGAAGGAGTTGGAGTATCATGTGGCATCGTGGAGGCACATAGCAGAAGGCATTGAGCAGACCTTCAGGAATCAATAGGATTGCAGCAGGCAGGATGGGGGTGGGGTGGGTACCCAGAGCTGTGAGAAAGTGCAGCATCACCATGAGTGAGAGAAGTTCACAGGGAGCACACATGCCCTTGAGTGCTGAGCTAAGGACCTGGAAAAGAACCACTGTGAATTCTGCAGCTATGGAAACCCTGGGGCTGCCTGTGGTCAGAGAGGGGCTTCAAGATCAGTGATTTTCCAGCAGCTGGGAGAATGGACTGGAACAGATACCCCCTGAACCGTTCTGACAGCCCAGATTAGAAGGGGGAAGGTGGAGGAAAGGCACAGACAATTCAGAAGAAGAAAAAAAAGCGGTATGTGTGAACCACTTCTTTTTTAAATTGAAAATGAAAATAGCTTTATGGAGGTGTCCAATGGGGATAGAAATGTATCCCCTTAAAATCAGGTTACCTAATCCATGGAAGGGCAGAATATCACAGAGAAAATTAAAATGGGTTTTAATCATGGAAAGTAAACATCTGAGCATATTTGACAAGTCTCAGCACAGAGCCAGCTTTCTCCAAGCTAAGCCTGATAGAGGATCTGGTGTCTTCCCTGGTCCCTCACCCATCTGGCCCATCCCAGACTGAGAGAAGCACCTGCAGCTGCCCCTGCCAGGGACTCCCTGCTTCACGTGAAACCACCTGGCTCTCAGCACTGCAGGGCTTGGACGCGCTAGCTTTCTGACACACAGGGAGTCAGCAGATGTACTACCAATGCTCACAATTATTTCCAAACAAGCCTGCAGGCAAGGACTCTCAATAACTACGGGCCATCATAGGAAAGGAAATCTGCCCATACAAAACCAACACAGGTGCACCAATCTCACAGTGGAAGCACAGTCTCGCAGTGGGAGCACAGTCTCGCAGTGGGAGCACAGTCTCTCAGTAGGAACACAGTCTTGCAGTGGGAGCACTATTTGACAGTTGGAGCACAGTCTCACAGTGGGAACAGTCTCACAATGGGAGCACTATTTCACAGTAGGAGCACAGTCTCGCAGTGGGAGCACAGTCTCGCAGTGGGAGCACTATTTCACAGTAGGAGCACTATTTCACAGTAGGAGCACAGTCTCGTGGTGGGAGCACAGTCTCGCGGTGGGAGCACACTCTCATGGTGGGAGTGCTATCTTGCAGTGGGAGCGCTATCTCACAAGTGGGAGCGCTATCTTGCAAGTGGGAGCAATATCTCACAGTGGGAGCACAGTCTTGCGGTGGGAGCGCAGTCTCGCGGTGGGAGCGCTGTCTCGCGGTGGGAGTGCTGTCTCGCGGTGGGAGCCCTATCTCACAGTGGGAGCGCTATCTCGTCATAGTGGGAGCACTATCTCATCATAGTGGGAGCACATTCTCACAGTGGGAGTGCTCTCTCACAGTGTGAGCACTATCTCGTCATAGTGGGAGCACATTCTCACAGTGGGAGCGCTCTCTCACAGTGTGAGCACTATCTCGTCATAGTGGGAGCACTATCTCAGAGTGGGAGCACATTCTCACAGTGGCAGCACAGTCTCACAGTGGCAGCACAGTCTCACAGTGGGAGTATTATCTTGCAGTAGAAGCACACTGAGCACACTGTGTAGCTGTTCACAGTTGTTTCCTCACCCTGACTCCCCACGCCAAACCCCCAGAACCGGTTCACACTCACCAAGAGATCTTTATTTTAACTTGAAGAATCCTTCATTTACTTAGAAATAGAAAGGCCCCTTCAGGGATACACCAGGAGGCCTATCATATCTGTAATGGGTGGAGCAGAGAGATTGGAATGGCCTTGAAGAGCAGAAGCTCCCAGGCTGGGTCCTGCTAGAACCTGCTCAGCGCGTCTCCAGGAGCAGCACACACAGCATGCCAGTCAGGACGGGTGTGGGAAAGATGGCAGAGAAGAAGAGGCAGCCAGAGAGAAGCCAGCCGTTCAATGAAAGTCCTAACTGGTGGTTTGGCCCTCCCTTCCCAGTGGCAAGAGGATGCCTGTTGTAAAATGGATGTGAAGCCTGGCACCATTAACCATCCAGCTCAACCAGCTTTAAATCCTAGGCCCTACAAATGAACTTCAAATTTTCAGCTTCCCACAGAGGATCTCACCACCTTCAAACCACCCAGGCTCTGTGCCAGCCATACTGGAGTTTTCACTGTAAATTAAGTACATGGGCCTTCTGGTATTATACATCAGTATTTCTAGCTTAGCTAATGCGAATCTACCTCTAAAATATGGAGACACTCTCAGAGTGCTAACCAAGCTAGCTGTCCGATCCTGGCAGGCTTCTTGGCAAACTGAATACCTGGCCAGGAGAAAGGCCAGGTGACTGTGTCCCCACTTGGCTGCAGGGATGAGAGCAGTGTGATTTCTGATTTCTCCTTGAGATGCCCCACATAGTTCTGCTCCTGGGCTTCAAAAAAGATGATATCTAGTGAATGATTCCTCCAGCATTTGGATGGGAAATGGGCCAAGGGCTCTTCTCCCTACTGAGCTCTTTTCTACCCACTGAAACATCCCCCAGCCAAAACTGCACCAGAAAGCCCAAGATTCTGGAGATGCCATCCTGGAGAAGGTATTCAAAGGAGTAGGAGACTTCTCAAAAGCTAAACAAAACTTCCAACTTATCTCTGCCAGAGTAGGGTACATCAAATGGCCAAATCCACCGCTTTGCAGTCTCCCAGTAAGAGGCAGATCCTCTGAAACAATCATAGGCACAGATCCTTGCATTTTTTAGAAGTCACAGAATTAAGATTTTTCTGCATCTCGATGATTCAGACACTTTAGAATTTGATATTGGCATAGAAACTAGGAATCATAAAATAAATTTTTAAAAAATTGTCATTTAATAAACATATTATGTGTCAACCAGAGCATAAAGAAACAGGCAAACAAATAGGAGTGTAAATGTTTGCATGATACATAGGGAACAATTTAGCAATAGCTGTTAACTATTGAAAACATTTGCTTTTGGGTCTAGCCATCTTACCTCTAGGAATTTTTTGAGATATTTTCAAGGTTCACAAAGAAACAATAGACCATTTTAGCATAGTTTATCATGATAAAAAACACAAATGTGCAATAATCAAGTTTGGTGCATCCATGCAATGGAATATTATTAATAAATGTCCTGTATACTGACATGAAAACCTATCCAAGGGGAATTAAGTGAATAAATGCAAGTTGAGCAAACAATGTGCATCATTCGCATATGTTGGTAGAAGCATGAAATGTTCTGGTTTGATTCACTATTCAAAGAGGTTGTCTCTGAGGACTGGCACTACAGGGCATTCCTTTCTAGAGAACATATTGGTGTGCATGGAGGTTAGGAGAACAGACTCACCCCAGCAACACCATATTTTGACCTTGGGCAATGCCAGGTTCTGGGTCTACCTGAGCACAGCCCTACTTCACAGAGTGCAGCAGGGCTCACATGAACTCACATACATGAGGCACATAAAATAGTGCCTGGTACATAGTAAACATTGTATGAGTGCTCTTATCTTGACCACTGCTATTGAGCCCCCACATGAAGGTTTTTGCAATCATAACCACCTTGGTGTTCTTATGCCATTTAAAAAAAAATAAGACTTCAGGGCTGCAGGCGGTGGCTCACGCCTGTCATCCCAGCACTTTGGAGGCTGAGGCAGGCAGATCACTTGAGGTCAGGAGTTCAAGCCAAGCCTAACCAGCATGGTGAAACCCCATCTCTACTAAAAATACAAAAGTTAGCTGGGCAGTAGTGGTACAAGCCTGTATTCCCAGCTACTCTGGAGGCTGAGACAGGAGAATCTCTTGAACCCGGGAGGCAGAGGTTGGCTGCAGTGGCCCGAGATTGTGGCACCGCACTCCAGCCTGGGTGACAGAGCGAGACTCCGTCTCAAAAAAAAAAAAAAAAGACTTCAGTTAGTAATAGAATGTTTTTTAAATCAGCAAGATGATGATGTAAGTAATGGTTATTTAAATCAAATCTCAAAATACTGGAATTATGTCATCCTTGAAGAAGACAAGAGGAGATCTGGGGGTTCCAAGAGGAAGTGCCCCTTCACCTGCAAGATGGTCACCTTAGAGAAATCTCAGTGCCTGGGGTGGGTATGAACTGAAAACTCCTAGCCAAGAAGGACGGAAGACCTTGGTATTAGGAAGGTTTAGATTAGGAAGGTTTAGATTTTGAGATTTTTAGATTTTGAGATGACATCCAAGCATGCAAGCAAAAAAAGTCTCTTTTGCTTTTATCTAAGTCATACCATGAAGCTGGCCAGGGTGATTCTCTGACTCCTGGAATGGCAGACCTGGTAAGCAGCTCTATATCCCCTTTCACACCCACCACTACAAAGCTTAAGCCCAATTCTCTGTTCAACCGCAGCAAGTGTGGGGGGCACTGTATCCTGTATGTCTTTATTTTAGTTTATCCACCAACCTTGTCTCCAGGGTCTGATTTGCATCTTGTTTGGCTATTGTATATTTTTGTTTTTATTTCGTATTTCTAAATCACCTGTTCTTTCTGCAAACTGTATCAAATCTTTATCACGCATTTCCTGCTTACTCCCTAAAGATCGTCTGCCCTTCCCACGTCTTCGCCGATCAGTCCCCACTTTCCAGCCTGCACAAGTGCCTTGGAGCCCTACCCTTTGGATGCAGCCAAAGCCATTCCTAGCAGCCCTTGAGGGTTCTAACAACACAACTGTGGAGTCAGAGGTGGGTGCTCCTTTTTCTCACCTCTCGAAAGGTAGGGAATGCAGCATCAGGAAAAACACATAGTAGGCACTATGGAAGGGATGTGGAAGGAGGGTGTGAGAAATGAACTCTGAATGAATGGAGGCTACTAAGCTGCTCTAAGTGTCTTCCTCCTCTCCACTGGGACACTTCACTGACCAGATTTCCTTCTCCTTCCCTGGAGGAAGTCCTGTCTCCTGGGATCCCAAGGCTTCATCCAGGGACAGCTACATGTAAATCAGGAAGAGAAATCTGCTGTGGAAAAGGTCTCCATTGACCAACTGCTCCTCTGGTCTCTGCCTGTCCAGCAGACAAGGTATGTGAAAAAGTGTGTGCAGTCTGAAACTTCACACTAGCAATAGCAGTGATCAGAGTAATGACAGGGATGGGAAAAGTAATAATAACAATAACAGGCACTCTAAATTTGAGTAGCATTTTGTAGCTTTCAGAAGTGCTTTCAAATGCATTTGCTGTTTTCTCCTATGCCTCCAGTGACCCTGTACATACCCAGATAATTACTACTGTGGCCACATCTTTAAGTTTCTGTGATTTTATATCAAGATTCAATTGTGTAGGGAAAAGGAAACTTTTTCATCATAGAAGGAGACATTTAATTCACTTCTGACCATTCCAGGAAGGGTAGGCACCTGACTTCGTGGCAAGGATGTGGACTGATGGTGTTGTCTGGATAGTGATCAGGCCACATACTCGTTGTCCACATCTGCAGGGGCCTTCTCAGTCCACATTCCTGGTGAAAATCAACATCGTGTGACTTTACAGATTCGTGAGTGCCAGGGAATGAGCGACCCTCTGTTGCTGTCACAATCTCATTTCTTTTCCTTCTCACTGGAATTTTAATCAGTCTGAGCATCAGTTAATGATTCTTTCTTATCCATTTGATTAAAATACAAAGTCATTGAGGCAGTAGCAAATTGCATTTTTTTTTCCTTGGCCCTTAGTGCACTGCAGTAATGAAATCCACGACTTCCCACCTCTGCCAGTGAAGAGTCAGCATGTACCGTGTGAAAGCCAGGAAGGCTCATCTGTCTCGTGAGTGATTTCCTTTCCTAAGGAAGGCCCTCCAAGGAGCCATGCATCTCTGGAACGGATCACCCATGCTGACAGAACTGAAGATTGAACCTCTAACTAACATGACTTGTGCAGGTGACAGGGAAATTGTTTGTAATATAACTTCATTTCTTTAAAAGCAGCTACGGATTTATACTTGGGTGAAATTATATCCCACATACTAATTTAATAAACTCCTCTAAGCTTACACAGAGTCTCTTCTTGGAAAAGGATGTGTTTCTGATCCACTGGCCAGTGCACTGAATGATTTCCCACTACAACCCAAGGGAGAGGGAGTAGTGAAGACTGAAAACTAGGCAAAGCCAATTCGTATTCTGATGAAACTTTACAAATGCTGCTTATGACAAAACCCAGTTGTAAAAACTAAAGGGTAAGGTGAACACCCAAACCCTGCCATTAAAATAACAAAGAAAGGGGCTCCCTGCTACCTTTGGTTAATCTTTTCCAGTGGAACCTTCTTGTCTTGTGTCTCATTACCTCAAGTCCCAAGATTTCCAACCCTGGGTAAAGACTGTCTCCTCAGGGCCAGGCACAGTGGCCCATGCCTGAAATCCCAGCAATTTGGGAGGCCGAGGCGGGTGGATCTCTTGAGGTCAGGAGTTCGAGACCAGCCTGGCCAACATGGTGAAACCCTGTCTCTACTAAAAATACAAAACTTAGCCGGGCATGGTGGCACATGCCTGTAGTCCCAGCTACTAAAGAGGCTGAGGCATGATAATTGCTTGAACCCAGGAGGCGGAGGTTGCAGAGAGCAGAGATCGTGCAACTGCCCTCCAGCCTGGGCGACAGAGCGAGACTCTGTCTCAAAAAAAAAAAAAAAAAAAGACTGTCTCCTCAGAGCTTGACAGTAGTTCTGCTAGTGAAAGTGATTTAGAGCAGCTGCTCGCAAGTGGGCAGAAGAGCCTGTGGCACACCTTTCTGACCCTTTCTCCTTTCCAAAGAGAAAAGAAGAGAGGTGACAAAGAATTGGAGAGGAACAAACTATCAGAGTAGACTTCTTGTTAGCAACATATTTTTTAAACCATTGTTATTTACTTTATAAAAGAATAACATGCGCTCACACACCTGATTTTATATTGATTCATTCAACAAATTTTATTTGTTCTACTTTGTATTAGGCACTGAAGATATATCAATAAGAGAAATGACAAAAAGTTATGTCTGCACAAGACTTTTCATTGTACTCTAAAACTGTGCCCTATTACCTGAAAAATAACCCAGTAGTTGTATTACACTTGTGTAGTAGGTCCTTAGGATGGATAACATGCCACATCCTCCTAGCTCAACCAACTTCAGCACTGCAGTGTCGGACAGCTCCATACACCTCTGCAAGGAATTCCAAGTCAGGCAGGGGCCACTTGTCTCTCTGCATTCCAAAGCAGCAGAAGGCTGCTAAGCTACACACAAACACAACCTGAAAAATCAATACCCTCCGGGGCAACCCACCACATGTGGGAGATGAGAACCCATGGATAAATTCCCCAGCATCCCACTCTCTGACTCCTTCACTGGGATCACCTCTCGCATAAACTATTTGTACCTTGCCGCAAAGTTTGCTCTGGGGAACCTAGAGCAAGGTACAAATAGTTTATGTGGGCTTGTTAGAACCCCAGATAAGCCAAGACAACTTGTAATAGCACAAGGATGCAATAAGTATGACACAAGTGAATTGTCACTGTAAAAGCAAATTTGGGGTGGTGGAACTGTATATAAACAAACTTCAGTGGTGTATTTGTGTGGTAGGGGTGTGAGTGAATCATAGTCAAATCATAGTTCATGCGACAATACACACTGAAGGATTAACAAAAATTATTAGAGAAACTATATTAGTAAGTCTGAAGCTGAATCAATAGCAGTTTATCATTAAATTTCAGAAGAACAGCCAATAAAAATATAGAACAGCCTAAGAAACATGAAAGAATGCAGCAATATGGTTTGGCTTTGTGCCTCCACCCAAATCTCAGGTTGAATTGTAATCCCTAGTGTTGGAGGAGGGGCCTAGCGGGAGGTGATTTGATCATGGAAGCAGATCTCCCCCTTGCTGTTCTCATGATAGTGAATAAGTTCTCACAAGATCTGGTTGTTTAAAAGAGTGTAGCACCTCCCTCTTCGTTCTCTTCCTCTGATCCAGTCATGTAAGATGTAACTCCTTCCTCTTCACCTTCCACCATGATTGAAAGGTGGCAGGCGAAGAGGAAGGAGTTACATCCTGAGGCCTCCCCAGCCATGCTACCTCTACAACCTGTGGAACTCAGTCAATTAAAACTCTTTTCTTTATAAATTACCTAGTCTCAGGTAGTTCTTTATAGGAATGCAAGAACAGACTAATACAGAAAATTGGTACCAAGAAGTGGGACATTGCTATAAAGTTACCTGAAAATGTGGATGCAGCTTTGGAACTGGGTAATGGGCAGAGGTTGGAACATTCTGAAGGGCTTATAAGAAGAAGATGAGGGAACATTGGGAACTTCCTAAAGACTTGTTGAATGGTTGTGACCAAAATGCTGACAGTGATATGGACAATAAAGTCCAGGCTGAGGTGGTCTCAGATGGAGATGAGGAACTTATTGGGAACTGGAATATAGGTCACTCTTGGTATGCTTTAACAAACAGACTGGCAGTGTTGTGCCCCTACTCTAGGGATCTGTGGAACTCTGAACTTGACAGCGATGATTTAGTGTAACTGGCATAAGAAATTTCTAAGCAGCAAAGCACTCAAGATGTGGCCTGGCTGCTTCTAACAGCCTAAGCTTGTACTCATGAGCAAAGAAATAATCTGAAACTGAAACTTACATTTAAAAGGGAAGCAGAGCATAAAAGTTTCCAACAATGTGGATAAACCATGTCACTTGAATTTATTGCCAGTATTTGAATATTGATATTCAAAATCATATAGTATTACAGATTTGCAGCCTGACTACATGGTAGAAAAGAAAAACCCATTTTGGAGGAGGAATTCAAGTCATCTGCAGAAATTTGCATAAGTAAAGTGGAGCCTAATGTTAATAGCCAAGACAATGGGGAAAATAACTGGAAGGCACTTCAGAGACCTTCACACAGCCCCTCCCATCACAGGCCCAGAGGCCTAGGAGGGAAGAATGGTTTCATGGGCCAGACCCAGGGCTCTGCTCCCCTGCACAACCTCAGGACACTGCTCCCTGCATCCCAGCTGCTCCAGCTCCAGCGGTGGCTAAAAGGGCCTCAGATATGTTTCAGAGGTGCTGCTCTGCTCCAAAGGGTGCAATCAAGAAGCCACAAAGGCTTTCACATGGCATTAAGCCTCCAGGTGTGCAGAGGGCAAGAATTGAGGCTTGGGAACCTCCACCTAGATTCCAGAGGATGTATGGAAATACCTGGTTGTCCAGCCAGAAGTCTGCTGCAGGGGCAGAGCCCTCATGGAGAACCCCTACTAGGACAGTGTGAAGGGGAAATGTGGGGTTGAAGCCCTCACACAGAGTCCCCACTGGGGTACTGCCTAGTGGAGCTGTGAAAAAAGGGCCACTGTCCTCCAGACCCCAGAATGGTAGATTGACAGCTTGCATGTGCCCTTGGAAAAGCACAGGCACTCAACACCAGCCCATAAAAGAAGCCTTGGGTGCTGTACCCTGCAAAGCCACAGGAGCAGAGCTTCCCAAGGCCTTGAGAGCCCACCCCTTGCATCAGTGTGGCCTGGGTATAAGACATGGAGTCAAAGGAGATTATTTTGGAGCTCTGAGATTTAATGACTGCCCTGCTGGGTTTCAGACTTGCATGGGGCCTGTAGCCTCTTTGTTTTGGCCAGTTTCTCACATTTGCAATGTGAACATTTATCCAATGCCTGTACCCCCATTTTCCATTGTATCTTGGAAGCAACTAACTTGTTTTTGATTTAAGAGGCTCATAGGCAGAAGGGTTTGCCTTGTCTCAGATGAGACTTTGGACTTGGATTTTTGAGTTAATGCTGGAATGAGCTAAGACTTTGAGAAACTGTTGGGAAGGCATGATTGTATTTTGAAATGTAAGAAGGACATGAGATTTGGGAGGGGCCAGGGACAGAATGATGGGGTTCAGCTCTGTGAACCAACCCAAATCTCATCTTGAATTGTAATCCCCAATGTTGGAGGAAGGGCCTGGTGGGAGGTGATTGGATTACGGGGGCAGATCTCCCTCTTGCTGTTCTCATGGTAGTAAGTTCTCATGAGAGTTGTTTGTTTAAAAGTATGTAGCACCTCCTGCTTTGCTCTTTTCTTCCTGTTACAGCCATGTAAGATGTGACTCCTTTCTTTTCACCTTCCACCATGATTGTAAGCTTCCTGAGGCCTCACCCACCATGCTTTCTGTACAGCCTGCAAAGCTGTGTGTCAATTAAACCTCTTTGCTTCATAAATTATTGTCTCAGGTAGTTCTTTATAGCCATGGGAAAACAAGCTAATACAAGCAGCATCCACCTTGGTTAATTCTTCTGCAGTAGGATCCTGACCATGGTGCCCAGGGGGATGTCAGACTTCTCAGGAGAACAAATTTATTTATTTATTTATTTGTTTGTTTTTGAGATGGGGTCTCACTCTATTGCCCAGGCTGGAGTGCAGTGGCACAATCATAGCTCACTACAGCTGACAACTTCTGGGCTCAATGGATCCCTCTGCCTCAGCCTCCTGAGTCGCTGGGACTATAGGAGGTACCACCTATATAGGCACCACCATACCTGGCTAATTTTTTTTTTATTTTTTAGAGACAGAATCTCACTATGTTGCCCAGGCTGGTCTCAAACCCTAGCCTCAAGTGATTCTCCTATCTTGGCCTCCCAGGTCATTGGGATTGCAGGTGTGAACCACCATGCTGAGCAGACATTTTAAAGAAACTTTAATTAGTCCTGAATAAACTAGGCAGAAGCCTCAGTATTTGGGTAAAGTCTGACATTTGATTCATATTAGGCCGTCAGAAGGAAACTGGACACGTACCTGTATCAGTGTCATCGCTGGATCACTAAACTTGTGAGTGTTCAGCACTCACATGGTCCAGAGACTGCCATCATATCCAATCAGCATAAAAATTCCAATAATGTGGACAAAGTATGTTACTTGGATTTATTGTCAATATCTGAATATTGATTGTCAAAATCATGTAAGTATTACAGATATGGCTTGGAGTGAAAATCTCCTAATGTTTTATGTATTAAAATTATTTTAACCAGTTGAGGTCTAAATTTGCATTTATTATCACAAAATATAATGCTGGCAGCATTAACTTCAGTAGTAGGGCCACCCAACTACCTTCACCACGAGAACTACATTAACACCTCCTCACACTGGCCATGCTCAAACCCTACCAGTGGGAAGGAGGCAAGCATTTTGCATTACTAGCATGCACACTAGGATGATCACAGAAGCAATCTATCATACTTACACTCCACCATCAGAAAATATAATGATCACATTTTTTAAAAAAATTCAAGTTTATTCTTTTATTCTAGAAATTTATCCTGTGAAGGTAACATGTAGCTGATGGTTGATTTTCAGCATTTGGTATGTTGTCATTGAGTGCATCTCTGATTTAAATGACAAATTTTATTGGTCCCTAATGACTTAGTAGTGTACTAGTGAGTAGGCCTTAATCACATGAAAAAATGAGTCTACCAAGTGGCCTTCCCCTCTTTGATAATGGCAAAGAAATGTCCCATGTTTGGGGATGGATGTCCAGCTCATGTGGCTGCCTACTGTCTACCTCTGGGCCACAGACCAGAGGCCAAGCATCGTTGTGTCCAGTGCCACCCAGGAAAGGTACTCATCTGCCTTTGTTCCAAGGAGGTCCTTTTTCTCAACAGTGTTTAAATAGTGCACACGTTTGTACATACCATAGAGCAGCAGTTCATATTGGCTGTAGATGTTGTGAAAACAATAGCCATTGAGTAGAGGCCAGGGATGTTGCCAAATATCCTACAATGCACAGAAGAGCACCCCCTCACACACACACTGCCACAACAGATAATTCTGACCCAAAATGTACATGGTGCCTAGATTGAGAAAACTTTGCACAAAAATAGTATCTTGGCCTGTCCGCCTCCTGCTCATGGGACTTCAGTTCAAAGAGAACTGAAATGCAGCTTTAATAAAAGCCTTTGTCTCTGAGCCATGAGTGTTGTGGAAACTGGGGCCAGCTGAGGTGTGTACTTGCAAGTAGGATAAAAACTCAGACCTGCATACTTCCCAACATCCCTCTACAGACAGCTGCAGCCTATTGGATCTGATCTATTGATGTCCACAACCTGGGATACCTAGATGTGCTAAAAGAGCAACTATAGCACGACAAGGCTTCCAGCTGGGTGAGCGGGAGGAAAACAAGAAAAGAGCTTTGTGTCCAGGGTACATCCACCCAGCCAGCCTCACATATCACATTTGCTGGGGATCTGGATGGTGGCAGGGCTCTCACAGCTGAGGAGCAGTCCACAGTGCAGGAAGGAATTCTGTTACAACTCACTCCAAAGCTGATAAACAGCCAGACAAAACTGAAGCTGTAGCTGCCCTGTGTGACTGCATCAGCCTGTGGAAGCCATCAAAACAATTCAATAACTCAATGACATAGTCCTAGTTCCAATTCATCTTTCTAGCAGGCATCTGTTTCTATTATATTTGAACTGTGCAGAGGAAATTGGATAAGGCATGCTAGCACGGGACACTGCAAGCTGCAGCAACCACATGCCCAGCAGCGGGAGCGGGAGGATAGAAGACAGGAGGAGAGAAGCCAGGTACTGAATCTCAATCAGAAGCAGCTTAAAGGTCAGACTCTGAAATTTCCTTCAGAGCCCATCAAAGCCTACCTGTAATTTCCACAACAAAGTAACCCAAAGCCATTTCTTGGTGACCCCCAGTGTCAGGGTACTCACCCCTCATTCACAGACAGACAGCCCTCAGTGGTAGAGTAACAGCATCAATTCTTCTCCCCATCTGTTTCCACTCACTGGCTCTGCCCAGCCAGCCAAGAGTCAAAGCCTTAGGCATTGGAGCATGGATTCATGGTCAGGTTCCACTCCTTGGTTGAAATTAAGGGTAACTTAAGTTCTATGGGTGGAACTGGCTGGAGGGAAGACAATAATTTGGCAAATGACAAGTGCTCCAAGGGGACCCGTGATACATTCTATCTAGGTCAGGGGTGGGCAAACCATTCCCCATGGGCCAAATGTGGCCACTTCCACTCACTGACCCATCTTCTGTGGCTGCTTTCACATTTCAATAGCAGAGCTGAGTAGCTGCAACAGGACCGCATGGCTGGCAAATATTTACTCTCTGGCCCCTTCCAGGAAAAGTGGCCAGCTCCTACTCTAGAGACCAGACTTCTAAGAAAAAAGTGAATCTTCAGGATGCAGATTTTCAGTAGCATACATGGGAGGACTTGAGAAAGAAAGGAACAGGCATGGAGATACTGAAGCCCCCTCTTCACAATGGTGAGTGACAGCTCATAGTCTCAGGAGTAATTGGTTGATAGAGGCAGACTCTAAGGCAATGAGATAGAAGGAAGAATATTTTTGATGAAGGGGCAGATGGAGGAACCTTTCCTAGTGTAGGAGAATCCCTCAGCAGAAGAGAAGCAGCGCCCATACCTGCATGGGGTGGAAAGAAAGGAGCAGGAGCCCCCAACAGCAACTAGGAGAACCACAGAGAAGCCAAAGAGAAGCTAAGAACTTGATCTTGTCTTGAATTTCTGTAGCATCTGAGACACTAGAGTTCAGTCCTGCATTAAGCTCAGGGTTTTCCAAACCAGTCAGTCCACACGGCCTTTCCACCTGGTAGCTGCCATTTCCATCCAGGCCCTGGAATTCATGAGGTTACCCTTTGGAGAATGCTGCATTCAACCTACCCACTCCCTTTACAGATTGGACAAACCCCCTTGACACCGTACCTCCGTGTGAACATCACACAGCAATTCATGGAAAGCGTGCACCCATTAGCAGGATGGGAGAGGCTGGAAACCAGCCCTGGCACATTCAAGATGCCCTCCTATGGGAGGAAGAATTGCAACAGCATTTTGTGCTCTGAATGCCCAGTCTATAGGAAGATGAACAGAATGTGCACTAAATATTTAGGCATCTGAGCTGTGGTAGCTCATGGCAGGAAGCCACGCTCACCTCCCAGGACCTGATTCTGCCATAATACACTGTCCCAGAACCACTATAGATCACCTCACCACTGGCTGAGGAAGACAAAGACAGGAGCTGAGTGTAGATGGGCAGCAGGCTCATCCTTGTCTCCCTTCTGCTGGCTGATGCACACCTTGTCCAGCTTGCTTAAGACACATGCTCCAACACCTGTCATTGTCAGGCATTAGATTCGTGGCCATGCCTGCTGTGCCCACCAAGCTGCCAGCACCACATGGCTGCTGCTCACTGGTGTGCGGTGTGTGCCCAGCCTGAGGGCCAGGCGAGCTCAGGACACAGACCTCCCAGTGCCAGCACATAGGAAGGCCCTGGTAGCTGGCCAGGGAGGCCTAAGCTCACTTCAGTCATCAGACACGAAGTTCCATTCTCTAAGGATATCATCTGGGAGGAGGTGAAGCCTTTCTGTCTTGAAGGTTGGGTCTACCTCCAGGTGTGAAGGAAGGACATTTCATATACAGGGGAAAGAGGTATTGGCCAAGAAATATGGAGCCCAGATTCAAAGGGGGACAGAGACCCCATCTCTTGATGGAAGGAGGGTCAAGGAATTTTAGAAACTTATTTTCCCCAAACTTCTAGAGTTGTTGACACCAGTTGTTTATTTGTCACATTGCTTATTTATTCACTTACTTATTCTTTAAAAGTTATTTTAAGCATAATTAAAGATATAATTCATCTCAGACTATTATCACGAGATTATTGTCTTATTATTACCTTCCACACTCCAAAGCCACCACCCTTGGATGACATAAATATCCAATGACTATTTATCAGAACCATAGGCATTTTTATCTACCTGTCACCTTGCAGGGTCAACATTTACAAACACGTCGTTATTACAGGAACACAGAATAAGATAATGATCTTATTATCAAGACCACAGATAATAATCGTGGCTCGTTGAAGCCCTTTGAACCCAACAGCTGTGGGCCCATCTGGAGCTAGTGGCCTTACTTCTCTAGATCAGATTTGCACACTTTGAAAACTGCAGCAGTTAGGAAGCTGCAGCATCCCACAGGGGGAAGCAGCTCAACAGCCAGAGCTGGGCTGAGAAGCGGGTATCTGGAAGCTTGCTCCTTAATGCCTCCTGAGGAAGCGCTGGGCACACACCTGGCACAGCCCACATGCAAGAGTTAGCACCACCCGCACACATAGTGCTCAGCTGTTCCTTTGGCAGCACTGTTGTTAGCAATGTGTGACCGCATTGGGAGGGGGTCTGAGTACCATGGAGGTGACTGAGATGCTCTGTACCTCTGTTACTTAGCACAGTGCAGGGCAGGAAGCAGGAAACTCAACAGATGTCTATTCAATGATTGATGGGCAGCTGCCAAGCAACTTCCAGAGTAGGGGGTCCCATGATGCAGATCCCTCCTCCCCACCCACTCCATGTCAGCCTTATTTCAGGCCTCACAACATCCCACTTGAAATATTAACTGAGCTCTTGGCCTCAGTCATCGTGTTCTCCTGTCACCACTGCACCATCTCAAAGTGGCCCTTCCTACCCCACTAGGCTTCCCACTGCCCCGCACACAGCCAAAGCCCTGCCCTCACAGCCTGGCCCTCCAGATGTCTGCAGCCTGGGCCCCATCTGTCTTCAGACTTCGCTTCCCATAAAGTTTCCTCATCTGGCTTTTGGTTTTGTTTCACAAATAAGCCACACACACATGCACACACAAAGAGGTACATGCACACACAAAGAGGTACATGCACACATGTGCAAACATCTGTGACCACAGACCCAGATGCCAGCACACACGTGCACACACACTCATGCTTCCAGGTGCAAATACACATACATACACACACACACACACACACACACCAGCTCCATACTTTAAACCTCTTTCCCCTGTATATGAAATGTCCTTCCTTCACACCTGGAGGTAGACCCAACCTTCAAGACAGAAAGGCTCCACCTCCTCCCAGATGATCTTCTTCCCAAGTTGCAATTGAGTTCTCCCTCCCCATTTCTCTATACAGCGGCAACAGACTCACCATCACGATACCATTGCCGTCTTCTCTCAATGCAGGTGCCGTCCATGCTGTGAGTCCCTGGAGAGCAGCAGGGATACTTTTTACAGCTTTTTCGATGCTCACTTACGGCCCCCAGCAGAGAGCACCTCAGCAGGTGCTCCAAGAACGATGTTGCCTTGGAAAGGTAGCGAGGCCCTGAAACACAGAGAATAAGGGCAAAGTCTGGGCTGCTCTCAGAGCCTCAGGGCCCTGCCACCCCAAAGTCCTAGGACAGGGAGCGTGTCCTCTAACTTTTCTCTCTCCCTGCACTTTATCTCCACCAGGAATTCTCAACCTTTTTTGTTCTAATAGAGCTCTCTTCAACCGCCTGAAAAAGTTCCTAATCCTTTTATAAAATATTGTCTTAAAATGCACATAATAGGCTGGGCACAGTGGCTCCTGCCTGTAATCCCAACACTATGGGAAGCCGAGGCAGGTGGATCACTTGATGTCAGGAATTCGAGACCAGCCTGGCCAATATGGTGAAACCCCGTCTCTACTAAAAATACAAAAATAAGCCAGGCATGGTGGTGCACGCCTGTAATCCCAGCTACTCAGGAGGCTGAGGCAAGGAGAATCACTTGAACCAGGGAGGCGGAGGTTGCAGTGAGCGGAGATCATGCCATTGAACTCCAGCCTGGGCAACAGAGTGAGACTCCATCTCAAAAAAAAAAAAAAAAGAAATGCACAAAATAAATATTACAAAGGGCCTGAGTGATGCTGAAATCCAGCTCTGCGTTCACACTTGAGTTGGGGGATGGCAGGTTCCCCAGCACCGTGTGCTCCCAGGTTCCCAGCAAATGTGAGCTCACTCTCCCTGGAGCCCTTGCCCTGGGTCCTGATCACCAGCCCCCTCTGGTTGATCTTCCCTCAGGTAGGAAGTAGCCCTGAGGAGGGGGAGCACAGAGGAGTTGTGGGCAGGGGTGCAGAAGGAGAAAATATGTTGAGGACAACAGCATCAGAGGCCAAAGGCAGACTCTGGCTGCTGGTCTGCACAGACCACCATCTATGGGTTGCAGAATCTGGGTGGACACGTAAGGAGAGGAGGGAAAAGAGAGAGAAAAAAAAAACTGTCACAGGCAAGCACAAAGAGTAGCTGCCCTCAATTAGGGCTAGTAAAGAATTGTTCCCACTGCACGGGGTTTTCCAACTGCAATCTTTGGGCTTGTGAAGCATTTTCTCTGCATCTGTTGTTGATGCCATTAAGTAGAATGAGTCACTGTATATATTAAGCACTAAGACCAGCAGCGACATAAGTCTATGAATTCAATGATCATGCCAGCTTTAAGTAGAAAAGGAGCTTTTTTTTTTTTATTAAACCAGTGGCAAAGCAGAGGAAATCAAGTAATTTTTACATTATAAGATTTTTGCTTTTTTTTATACTGTGTCTATTTCCTTTTAATGACAGTTATCAAAAGTCACTTTTGGGAAAAGGCTTTGAAATTGAATAGAAAAATCTCATGCATTTACTTTTCCTGTTTTTCTGAAATTCAAATAAGATGTGAGCGACAGGCGCTGAGTGCTCCAGCCCCCATGCTCAGCAATCGCAAGCTTTCTTCAGACCTCTCTTTGCAAGCTCGGGAGGAGACCAGAGAGGTTCCTTAGGAGGATCCCTGGCTGGAATCTAGGCCAGGAAGCCAACAGCAAAATGTGTTTGGGGTGAGCATCTGTGTTTGGGGCCTTCTGGCATGGTAACACTCTGACCTGGGGTGTTCGACATCACTTGTGCTCTCAGCACAGCTTCCAGAACAAGCCAATGGCCCCAACAAAGGACAAAGGGTCCAGAACCATGTGACCAGAAAAGGAAGACAGCCAGGTGTATTTGACAGCTCCCAGAATGACCTGGCCAGACACTCAGAAGGCCACGGAAGCTTCGCTCAGGCATGCTGCCAGTGTGTGTTTATGTCCCAAACCCTCACACAGCATTTGCTACCTGACTGGCCTTTGGCAAAGGGCTTTAGAGATGTTCCCCCAAGTCCCACATGGCACAGAGGGCAGGTGCGCATGCTGTGACAATTTCACAGGTGAGGAAAGGGAGGCCCAGGGAGCTTACAGAGCTCATGAGAGGTGCAGCCAGGATGTGAGCCCAGCCAGCTGGCCCCACAGCCTGTGCCCATGTGTGACAGGTGCCCCTCTGCCCCTTTCGTGGGGTCACATTGCCTAGTTGCATCAGAAACTTAACCCAACCTTACAGCTTGGTGTGTGGGTGGGCAGTGGAGGGTGGTGCAGGCGGCATCTCCTTACCTCTGATGCAGCATCCACCAGAAAAGCTGCAGAGAGTGTGGAAGGCAGAACAGTACTTCCAAAAAAAAACTAAAAACATCCAAGTCCTGATCTCCAGACCTGTGCCTATGTTAGGTAACGTGGCAAGGCGACACTGAGGTTGCAGATGGAATCAGCAGGCCTTGAAAGAGGGCACTTGTCCTGGATGGTCTTCATGTCCTCAGTGTAATCACAAAACTCCTCAAAAGTGAAAAGAGGGTCAGGGTCAGAGGAAGATATGACTATGGAGAAAGGCACAGAGAAACGCACACTGCCAGCTCTGAAGACAGAAGGGTCCACAAGCCACTAGCCGAGGAAAGCAGGAGCCTCTAGAAGCTGGGAAAGGCAAGGACCAGATATTCCCCTGGAGCTACAGAAGGGACCCGCCCTATCGACACCTCCACTTTAACCCAGGGGGACAGTGCCGGGCTTCCAACCTCAGGACTGTAAAACAATAAAATTGTGAGCCGGTGTGGTGGTTCATGCCTGTAATCCCAGCACTTTGGGAGGCCAAGGCAGGTGGATTACTTGAGTTCAGGGGTCTGAAACCAGCCTGTGCAACACAGTGAAACCCTTGTCTCTACAAAAAGTACAAAAATCAGACGTGTGTGGTGGCGTATGCCTGTGGTCCCGGCTACTCAAGGGGCTGAGGTGGGAGGATTGCTTGAGCCCAGGAAGTAGAGGCTGTAATAAGCCAAGATATCACTACTACACTCCAGCCTGCGCAACAGAGCAAGACCCTGTCTAAAAAAAATAAATAAATGAATAAATTTTTAAAAATAAAATTGTATTGTTAAGCTGCTAGTAAGTGGATCAGTCAGTATTCAAGCCAGGTGGTGTTAAGCATTGTGTCCCTGGGATGAGTCATCATTCATAATCATTGATGAAAGTTTTAAATGTTAAGTATAACTTGGAATGATTCTACTGTATTGTTAATAACTTACAGTTATCATGAATCACTAGGCCAAAATATGCTATTGTTAGGAGAAAAAATTTCACCTCTACCACTTGGGTCCCATGCTTGGGGGCCTGCAAATTAACTGAAGATAGATTAACAGGAGAAAAGGCAAGGTTTATTTACATGTGCACGTGGGAGTTGCTCAGCCATAAGTAACTTGCAGAATAATGTGAAGGTTTATATGAGGGGACAGTGCATGTCCTTGCACCTTCACTTTGGACTTGACCACATGATTTGTTCCAAGCAATGGGATGCACATAAAGTGACAGTGTGCCAGATACAAGCAGAGGCTTTAAAAGGCATCATTTGCTTCTGCTGTCCTTCCTGACTTCTACCTTGCACCCTGAGGAAAGCATGCCCCAGGGTGTAACTTCTCTGCCAGCCTGGGTCCTGGGTGAGAAGAAGGGTGGCCCAAAGGAGTCCAGCCAAGAGGAGCAGCTTAGAAGCTGCAGCCAGCCTCAGACCCCAGAGTGAGAAACAAACATTTGCAGTTGCAAGCTACAGAGATGTCTGGACTACCTGTTACTGCGGCAGAAGCTAACTACCACAAGAACACGTAGATTTTTGGCCTAAGCAACAGTGAGGATGATGGTGCAACTTGCTAATTTGAGTTGCAGCAAGTGGGGTGGGAAGGGGGAAATTAAGATTTCATTTTAGAATACACTTAGCAAATAGCAACACCTCCCATGCTATGAAGGATAAGATACAAGACACAACTTTCATACTCCTTGCATTTGGAGAATAATACAATTATTTGTATTTGGAATTTAATATCCCAAATAAACATTCATATCCTTTACACTCAACCTGTTCATTGTCAAACATTTTGTTCCCTGAAATTGCTTAATTCACATTTATTCAAAAAGAAAGTGCATTTGGAGTTAAAACTAGTTTTACCCAAGAGGGTCTAAAGAGCTTAAAAATAGAAATGGGATTATGCCAGGATGAAACCCATTAACAACTCAGCTGAGTGAGGTCAGTGGGGGAGTGAGCCTAGGAGCTCCAAGTAGGGAAGAGAGCCCCCATCATCATACCCGGATCATCAGGAGAAATGACATCCACATGGATGGCACACTCTAAAGACAGCCAAGGGAAACTTTGCCAAAAAAGCAGAAGATTTTTTTTTCTTTTTCATCAAGATAATGCCACTTTAACCAAGAAAAGGAACAGATTTTGTTTGAAAACCCTAACTGGAT
Source organism: Homo sapiens (assembly GCF_000001405.40). Lineage (NCBI taxonomy): Eukaryota > Metazoa > Chordata > Mammalia > Primates > Hominidae > Homo > Homo sapiens. Next base: position 43,758 of record NW_025791776.1, read on the forward strand.
ATTTGGTTATTAATAATGTTATATCATATTAATACTTTTATATCATTTTCATTCACCATCTACCATATTTCCCATGTAATGATATAATCTTCATAACTAGAATTTTAATGGCTGCCCAATGAATAGCTATATCATAATGTTGGGGGTTTTTTGTTTGTTTGTTTTGTTTTGTTTTTTCAGATGGAGTCTCACTCTTTCACCCCAGCTGGAGTGCAGTGGCACAGTCTTGACTCACTGCAACCTCCACTCCTGAGGTTCAAGCAATTCCCCTTCCTCAGCCACTTAAGTAGCTGGGATTACAGGCACCCACCACCAAGCCCAACTAATTTTTGTATTTTTAGTAGAGACGGGTTTCATCATGTTGGCCAGGCTGGTCTCGAACTCCTGACCTCGTTGTCCATTCACCTCTGCCTCCCAAAGTGCTGAGATTACAGGCGTGAGCCACTGCACCTGGCCGTGTATTTTTAATTTATCTTATTTTGTAACTTAGCTTTTTCTACCAAAAAATAGGCATTCATGAAAAGTTGTTAAATATACATTAAGTGAGGAAAGCAAGACATGCTGGATAATATCCTTTGCATTATGTCATTAGCCCATTTATATGCTGGAGGTTGCAAATTTTTTTGTGAAAAATCAGACCACAGCGATGACCTTGAGCAGTAGGATACAAATAACTCCCACAAGCTTAGCATTCCAATAATGGAACACTAGCCATAAATGGGTTAAGATTACAGACAATACATTTTGTGTATGAATATACTTATATTCATTCTGGACAGATTAATGTTAAATTATAAGCGAGGTGAGTCTATAGAAATTATTATTTTAGTTACTAATTTCTACATCATTTATTTATGATGAGCATGTAGTTATTCTGTAATTTAAAAACAACAAAAACAAGATATTTACCAATAAGTAATAGAAGAAATGATTCATTCCAGAAAGGCTTGAGGAAAAGATCTTGACGCTAAAGTACTGTAGCTAAAACATATTGAAATAGGGCTGGAAGAGAGTGGCATCATTAGCGAGGCTTTCAGTCCACACACAATGAAGAACCCAGCCCCAGCTTACATCTTCCAGTCCGGCAGAGCTCCTGACAGCTTAACACATACTTCAGAATGTTTATTATACTTTAATATGGATACTGTATTCATATTTTATGTTCTTCTATTGTTTCTAAGTATAGCCTGGATAAACAAGTCACAGAGTAGACACATAAAAGCACACAGCTAAATTCACATTTTCTCTTAATGTTAGAAACCACAGATGCATTAAAAAGGATCATTAGGGACAGAGGTGCACTTTGATGTTTTGATCTAACCCGTTTTCACATTCAAAGGATGCTTCGAGTGTTATTCAGAAGTACATAATTGTGCTGAGAGCAAAAAGCACTTAGTGTCAGCTGAACACTCGCTCAAAGGCTCAGTTGGCAATACACGAGGATGTGTTGGAGGATGCATTGACTTGGGCCCTTCTGAGCTCCGTGGAGAGCTGGTGGGAGACAGCTACGGGGCGCCGGCACTGGTGAGGTCCAGACGGGTGCCTCCTGCGTTCTGCGCCAGGCATGGCGAGGGGCATCTCCTTGCCACCTCCTCTTTGTTTGCCTCCACCTCTTGCCCCTCCCCACCACCCCATTTCCATTCCTTCACAGGAAAAGCTAGAGGCACAGAGATGTGTTTAGTCCTGTGGTGGATGAACTCATCTCAGAACGCCAGCTGCACCATCTTCACGCAAGGGTTTACAATTCTATCCACTTTCACAGTGCCTTTGGTATTTGAGCTTGGATGAAACCAAAAGGTCACCAAAAGCTTCAGGAGGAACTGCTGAATTTCACTGATGGCTGAGTCAAAAATCTCCAAATTTAGCCCGGCTGATCTCCCTCTCCAAATGCTGATTCACGAGGCTTCGATGCTTGATGCTTCCAACACGGCTGGCTAGCAGGGGAAGTTTGAACACAGTCTGAAACCTTGCAAGCTTCTGCCTCATTTCAAGGCCTGAGTATATCCGAGTTTCCCCTGAATAATTAAATGGAGTGCTCAGACTGGCATGGGGCCGTGGCTCTATTTATTCTGATGGAATCTCCAAGACCAGGTCACATTCAAGATAGCGCACTGTCAGTGTGTGCCTGCCAGGCCGCCTAGCCCTGAGGCTCTGCAGTTTTCTTTTAGCTTTACAGTCTCTCATAGATTGAGGCAGTTTTGTGAATCGCTGCTTAAAAAAGAAATCCCGTTTAAGGTTGATTCAAAAAATGGATCTTCTATTTGGTGCCTTAACACTTGAAGTCAATACAGGTTGAGCATCCCTAATCCAAAAATTTGAAATCCAAAATGTTCTCAAATCAGAACCTTTTTGAGTGGGGACGTGATGTCTACAGAGCTCATGACACAGGTGTCTTTGGAAGCCCTGCCATGACTGTCAGCCCCACCACAGTCATCAGGGGCTCTCTCAGTGAAACATGGATGCTGGAGCCACACCCAGGGGCCGTCGCCTTGGGTGTTTGCAGGCAGCAGAAGCCAGCAGCCAGGGGAGAGTCACTGCACTGGGGCACGGGGTCTGTGGTGACGTCACCACTCCTAGCCATCAGTACTTTGTGGGTTTGGGCCCTGTAGGGTCCACTTCTGGGTTCCAGGAGGTGGGCAGGTCCACCAAGAAAGCAGGGAATGGATGTTGGCACCACAGTTTGCAACCTCGTTGGAAATAAAAAGCTCCAAAGAATCAATTAGAGAAAAACTCAGCATAAAATGAATGCTAAAAGTTGGAATTAAGAGAATTAGCAAGTGAGACAAGACAAAAAACAGGAGGTTGATTACGCAACAAGAACCAGCTCTGTGAAGATCTTGGCCTCATTCAATAACAGAAAGAAAAACTACGGCACGGGGAAGCCACTTGGTTTTCCCAGAATCCAACAATGACTGGGCTTCTGGGCCAACCCCAGAACACAAAGCTCCTGACTCAGGCGCCCTGTGACCCACTCAACGTGAAAGGGAACCCTCCGGCTGTTGTCTGGATAATTGCTTTTTCAAAAACGCCCACTGGATAAATCCAGATAATTAAGCCCCCCAAAAAGTGTGCTTTTCTTCGTGAATTATCGACATAATTGCCTTAGTTTTCACTTGGTTTTGCATATGCACTATAGCCTCACCTCTCCTTTGCATGGTCAGCATGAAGCAAGTTGATAATCTGCATTCCACACATATTGAGCTACTATCATATGTATGAGGCAGCATGATTGGTGTGATGAGGAATTGTAAACAAAAGTCCTAAGTAATAAGCACAGGCAAGTGGCCTGCCTTCAGAAGCTCACAGTCTGCTCCACACATATTCTTAGGAGAAGGAAACTCATAAGATAAAGCAAGGCGGGATGACTAGAGAAAGGCAGGGTGGACGAAGGAGGGAGACAGGAGGAGGGACATGATGCAGAGACGGCTTTGTTGGGAGGGCCCTGGAGGGTTTCGGCTGAAGGGAGAGGAGTAGAGCATGGGCAGCTATCCAAGAGTGACATGCTGCCCAGTTTCAAACCTGGGCTGTAGCACTTGCAAGCTGGGTGACTCAGTCACTTCACCTCTCTAGGTCTCAGTTTCCCATCTGTAAAATATTTTCTTTGTTAGGTTATTTTGAGGACTCAATGAGCTGCTATCTGCAAATCATTTCCAAGGTGCCACCAGTGTGGAAAGTACCCATGTGATTGTGAATGACCAACCTCAGGTCTTGGAGGGGTGGAAATGGCAGTCATTCTGAACTTTGAGCAGGGTGTGCCCATTCACCACTGCCTCCACTACCTGTCACTTATCTGCAGAATAGAGGGAAGCCAGGGGGATAAGCAGCCACACGTTCCCAGGAGTGGCATCAGTCAGCCCTGACCTAGCACTGGGGCCTGGGAATATCATAAAATCACAAATAAGAAAGATGTGACAAGGGAAAAATTAACAGGCCATCACGACTGACCTGGTACCCAAGGAGTGAGGTGGCAGACACAGATGACCTTCCACTAGGAACGGGGGAAGAGCAGCAGAGAACAGAGGAGGAGGGAGGCACCTCCACTCTGCTGAGCCAAGGTCTTGCGTGGACCTCTGGGAGGAAACCCACTAGCCTGTTGGAGAAGGGAGAGCAGATGTGGTTTCAGGAGGTGGCAAGATAGAGCTATATGGAAGATGGATGCTCCAAGGAAAAGATTTTAGGAAGGGTGGTGGGCTAAGGCGTGGAGAACCAGGGAAAAGAGGTTCTGTCAAGCTGCAGAGGACACTGGTTCTTGGGGACAACAGATATGGCAACTGGAAGAAGCCCAGCACTCTCCATAGAGCCCACATCTCCAGCATATTCATCACTCCATGTGAAATATGGAAACACGACAGAACTCCAGATGACGGCCTGTACTGGGGAGGAGTCCGAAATCCCATGCTCCAAAAGTGGCGCAAGACACAGGTCATGACGGTGAATCTGTGGGTACACAGGAGGGGATCAGCCAGGGCTGGCTGGCCTTGCAGGCATCTTGGAATATCTCTCATGCCTTCTTTTTTGACCAGTTACTCAATCTGCAAATCCACAAGCAGGACCATGGCTCTTTGTAGCCCTATGGGTGCTTGGCATGCATGTTAAATGGACCAGTTATAGCCAAGATGACACTTCTGAAGGGTGGGGCTGCCCCAGCTATGTGAAGCCCCTAGAGATGAAGAATAAAGAGGGCTGGCTGCACACAGAGAAGAAAAACACCACCCAGGAACCTCAGTTACTTTGCCCTTCTGCCTTCTGAACGGAAGCCGCCAGTTCTGCCAGGCAACATGCTGTTTCCCCTGAGTCTTTTTTTTTCACTTCAGAAACTATGGGAGATACATGTAAACACTCTAAATGTATAGGCTCATTTTCCAGTAAGTACAAAAGTGGATGGGTGGGTGGATGGATGGATGGATGGATCGGTTAATGGAAGAAAGGAAGGGTGAGAGGAGGGAAGGAAGGAGGAAAGGAAGGAGGGAGGGAGAGAAGGAGGGAGGAGGAAAGGGAAAGATATGCTGTATAGTAAACTTTCCAATCTAATTGAACCCAAAACTTACAATAACTTCAGTTTCCCAACTGTGAAATTAAACTGCTTCTTTCTATAGGCTTTATCTTTGCCTTATAAAATTTGGTTTAGATAAATTAGACAAAACTTCTGATCTTCTACCACCAAATCCCTACAGGAAGCCCCTGGAAACTTCCTTTACACTACCACGTTGTCTACTGCATTTTTCCCAGTTGAACTCAAGAAGAGCAGGGCTTGATTGTGGCCGGTGTCCAGATTCACGCCTCATCGTTTCTCCCACCGATGTCCCCACCAGTCAGTGACACCATCATTGTCCTTGGGTCCCAGTCCAAACATCTCAAAGCCATGTTTTACCTCTGTGCCCTTCACTCCACCCACTCCATGTTCAATAGCGATGGAGCAGGCTTGGGCGCGTACATCTCTGAAATGACATAAACGATGTAAAAGAGCTTTTTGAAAAAGCAATTGTAAGAACGAACGTCTCCTCTTCCCCTCCATTTCCATTGGAGTTTATACAACTGAATGGGCTAAAGTTTTCTGCAAAATCCCTCCTCCAGGTTCCCTCTCCTCATTCCTCAGGGCCCCCCAAGGGAAGGGCAATTATTGCTTTAGTACCTGCTTGCAAAATGATTTTCCAAGGATGGATTTCAAGTTCAGCTTCTCAAGCTTGCAAATGTGGCATCTCAAGGAGACCCACCAACCCGCCTGCCCCCATCTGCCCACCTGCCGAGGCTTGCTCAGTGCCAGCCCTCTCTGCTGCGGCAGCTCCAGCCTCCGCATCCTCCAGTGTCCAGCACAAGCACAGTTTCCCCACCTGGACCCCATTGCTGGCCTTCCCATGCTGATTTGGAGTGACATCAAGACACTCACACAGTGGCCAAGGAGAAGTTGAAGGGAGGTTTCTGAATGCATCTTTCCTCCCAAACATGCTGAGCAGTTCTGCAGGGCAGAACCAGGTCACTGCACATCCCCGTGTGTCTTTATTACGATTGCTTATAAAATGAATAAACGGTCTCCCATCCGAGTACTAACCAGGCCCGACCTGTAGTCCCAGCTACTTGGGAGGCTGAGGCAGGAGAATTGCTTGAACCTGGAGCGCAGAGGACCGGCTCGAATGTGAAAACATGGGCAGGTATTTGCTAGCAAGACAGGGAACAAGCGGCTTCCTGATAATAGAAACAGAGGCGGGGGCGATGCTGAGACCTGACCCCACAGTGGTCCCTGAAGAACGAAGGGTGGGCACGGCGACGTGAGGGCCTGGGGGGCCCAGGGAATGCGGTGGGACCCTGGAGGGCACGTAGCCACGCTGGGCAATTGTGATTGGGCTGCCACGCTGGCCTCCAAGCATCGCTGAGCACAGGGGCCATGATCAGAGGTGTGTTTGCGCAAGGCCATTGCAGCAGGGTGAGGAGGGTAGATTTGGACGCGAGTGGGAATGAGGTGAGGGAGGGATGAGGGCGGGTCAGGTGGTTGCTGCGGTCAAGTCCTGGACAGCAGGAGCAGTCTCCAGGGGTGCCTCAGAGCGGACTCTAAAGGCCATCGTGTACATCTCCTCAGCTGCGGTACAGACTACCCCAAGCCAGGCAGCTTAAAACAACAGAAATGTATTCTCCCGCAATTCTGGACCGCTCGGGTCCAAAATCCAGGCGTCGACAGGGCCGTGCTAGGGCTGGAGGCTCTGGGGGAGAATCCAGAATCTGCTCCAGGTCTCTCTCCCAGCTCCCAGGGGTGCTGGGAGCCCTGGAGCCCTTTGGCTGTGGACTCATCCCTCGGATCTCTGCCTCTGCCGTCCGTGGCCTTCTCGCTGTGTGTGTTCACATCGTCTCCCTCCGCCTGTGCTGTCTCTGGGTCTCTTCTCCTCTTGTAAGGGTAGCATTCAGGGGCTTAGGGCCCACCTTAAACCAGTATAACCTCATCTTAACTTGATGACATCTGCAAAGATCCCATTTCCAAATAAGGCCACATTCACAGGTATCACGGGTTAGGGCTTCGACATGTCTTTGTTGGGGACCCAATACCACCCGTAAGAGGCCTGGTGCTTGGCGGGGGCTGCAGGAGGCAGGGCAGAGCAGGGCTTCAGCCAAGGGCCAGGTTGGCCCGGAAGCTGGTTCGATTCCCTGGAAGGGGCCGAGGGCAGGAGGTACTGTTCCGTGTGGCTTTGGGGCTTCCTGCTGCAACGGGCTCCGGGCAGAGAGGCCTCCGCTGCCTGCCAAGGTTTTAGTTGCTGCCGCTTCTCCCTTATGTTCCTCCAAATCTCCCGCTGCCCCCATCTGAACCTCAGAAGCATGCTATGGGGGCAGGGGTTCCCGGTCCTCAGCTTCAGGAGGCTGGATCTACTCCTAACTGGGGTAATCTGTTTGCTTCTTTCCCAGGGGACAGGTTCCCAAAAGGCGTACCCAGAGCAGAAAGCTGAACATCTAACCAGTCTCTGCCTCCTGATGCAGACCGATGTTGTGGGAAGACCCGAGAGTCAGGACCCAGGCGTGTGAGAGTCCAGCCCCAGTCCTGCCCTGCAGGGCCTGTTCCATCTCACCGGGCTCCAGTCTTCTCACCTAGAAAATGAGGGCTTCTGATGCAAAGTCTCTAAGGAGCTTTTCAGCTTTAAAGCGTTCTGAATCCCATTTTCCCGCTGACTGACATTCTAATTTCACAGCGGGCTTATCTCCCCCTCAGAAGGGTCTTCAGCCGCAGCAGGGCCTTCCGTTTTTGCTTAAATCGCTCTGACCTTTTTATCAAGCAGTTCATAAACGCCCTTGCGCTAGGAGCGGCCGTCGCCCTGTGGTCCCCGGAGAGGGTCCTCCGAGGACTCTGAAAGCCGCTTCCATGGTTGGCGCCGAGCACAGGCGGCTCCCTCTGGCTTCCGCAGGCACGGACGGGGTTTGCCCAGAGACACCCTGCTCAGCACTGCCAAGCTGGAAAACAAGTGGGTGGGGGCAGCCGCCGGGAGGGGCCAGCAAACCGGGCCCTCATCCAGGAGCAAATTCCACCTTCAGTGCCTCACTTTTATCTCCAGATGGGCGCGTCCTTGTGAGAAACCACAGTATTGTCCCTCACCCATGAAGGGAGGCGTGGACGTGATCCCAAAGCCCCTATGTTAGACGGTCCAGCCTCACCTGAGCAGTCACATGGACCTGCCCGGTCCTTTGACCTCAACACCACACACTTCCCACCCCTGCGGCAGGAAGGCGAGGCAGGAAGCATCCACACAAACCTGAGTATATCACAGTGGCACCACCAACGTGCCGGCTGCAAAGTTGATTTTCTAAACCAGAGGCAGCAAAATGGACCCGCTGGGGAATTCTTGTATCTTGCCTAGCATTTATATTAATATTTGGGGGTATCATTTAATTGATTAGTCATTACTGCATACAAGGTTATAAGAGTCGAGAAGTATAAAATCTATATGTTAAAATTTTAAGAAAAAAATGTCAAGTAGAACTAGCCAGACTGACATCATTAATCTGGTACCTGCACACACTTGTCTTATAAAGTGCGAGGAAAATGGATATTTTTCTTACATATTATGCAATTATGTATGGCATATTACCTGTCTCTGTAGCTTGAAAATCATTACACTGGTCAAGCTGTCCCACTAGTAAAAGCAGACGACCACTTCATAGGTTAAAAAGACATCTGCAAGCTATTTAATACTAAGCTTCATTCCATTAACCTTCATTTTTGTCTCAAAATAATCCTGACCATTTAATATATAACCCCTCACTCCAAAAAGCATTGATTGTACTGTGAAAACATGATTCTTCAGGCATGGGATTTGCTTGTTTACCAATTATTCTCCTTTCCTGGCTAGAACCCTAAAATAATATCAGCAACTGCTGGGAGGGAGGGAGGGAAGGGGAGGAGTCAGACTCGGAGGACACGTCTGACAAAGAGGCAAAGGAAGCTCCTTGCTGCTGCTGCTGTCCTTGCTGCTGTTCTGCCTGGGCTTCGTTTTACAGGATCAATGTTGGGGTGTCACCGGGTCAACGGCAGGGAGGTCTCTCAGCAGGGACACCCAGGCCCAGCGAACACACTGATGCACCGTGCTCATATACCGGCCGGTGATCACTTCGGCTTCTTTGGGGGAAGAATTTCCGGCCTGAGCCATCACATTCCAGGGAGTTCCTGAGGACAAAGGGTATCATGGAGTCTCTGGGCACAGCCCCTCGCTCCTCTGCAGGACCTGAATGGTCACCCCACAGCAACAGAGCCGGCACACCCTCAGCACGGCTGCAGCATAGCTCTTGTCCACTCCTTCTATGGCGAGCAGGATGGCATCACCCACGGGGCCTGCCGTACCCACCAGCAGCACCTAGAGAGGGACAAGAGGAGACAGGGCACTGCCTCCTCTGGGACAGGTGTCGAATGGAGTCAAGATCTCCTGATTGTCAGAGACCAAGGGGTCAAAAGGACCCATGCCCCCAGCACCTTCCCCAGCCTATGAGCAAGCCATGGTCCCATGCTTTCCTCCAAAGCCATGGAAATGGTACTGTGGGCAGGGAGAGGTCTCTTTAGCCACAGACACCTGGCTCCCCCTTCATCTTGAGGGCAATATTTCTCTGGTGGGTTGGAAGTGCTCATTACTCACATTGGGAATGACACTTCTGGGGTGCCCAGTGTCAGGGACTTTGGGAGGGATTGCATTCCTCTCAGTAAAGTGGCAGGGAACACAGAAGCTTATGGCAAGCGTTGGACCAAATACCAATGAAAATACCAGACAGAGTAGCTTACAAACACATTTCCAAAGAATTTCCCTTGTACTCATGGATGGAGTTCACCTACCTTTCTCTCAACACTGGACTCAGGCAATGCTGGAGAGTAATCCAATTTCATGCAATTCAATGAATACAGTGAGGCCAAGGGGGAAAAGCCCCCTCCTTCCCCTGAGAAGGCTCGCAGACCTCCAGGCAAGCAAAGTGCTATGATGGGCTGTGCCGTGCGGCACAGTGGAGGGCAGAAGAAACTCACGGCATCAGCAGGGCTGGCAGGGCAGGCACTCACAGTGAGGCAGGAAGGTGAGCTCGTTGTCAGGCACAGGAGACACAAGCAGGAGGTGAAGGAGGATCAATGGGGAGACAAGCCATGAGCCGCACTCCCTGGAGAGCCAAAGGGCTAGCAGGCAGAGGAAGAGGGTGGCAGGAGGGTGTGGCTGAAGTCAAGCAGGAGAGCAGCTTTGGGGAATGGAGACCAGGATGGGCTTCCTGGAAGAGAAGTAAGGGAAGTGAGGGAGCCAGTCTGCTGCCCACCAGACCAGAGTTCACTGGGCGGGAGGGAGCTGGGAATAAAGACACAGGACCCAGCAGTCCCTCTTCCTCCTCCTGCCCTCCCACTGCCACCCACACAAAATCAGCCATGGGACACTCAGGAAAAGGAGAGTCCTCAAAACGAAGACAACAAGAGACAGAGAAAAGGCAGCAGATATTTAGATGTGTATCTAAATATCAGGGGCAATAGACACATATCCCCCATTCTGACCTCACATTTACAAATTTAATTCCATATAGATTGTAAGTCTCACCATGAAAGGTGAAATAATAAAACTTTAAGAAAATATGGGAAAAGAAAAAAAAGCACTAAAACCACAAAAGGAAAAAAAAAGGTACATTGAGCCACATGAACATAAGAAGTATTATTCATCAAAAGACACCACTGAGAGGGAAATTCAGACCACAGAAAAGACATTCATAAGACACGCATTTGGCAAAGGACTTGGGCAAATCAACAAGAAAAATCCAATAAATCCAGACAATTCAAAGAAATGGGCAAATGACTTGGACAGGTACTATGCAGAAGAGGATAGCCGCGTGGCTAGTAAACAGATGAAAAAATGGTTGATATCTCCCACAGGGCAATGCAACACCCTGCACACGTGAGAACTACTGACGTGACAAAGGCAGTACCCAGCGTGGAAGGGAGTGCAACATGAGCTCTCATCTCTATTGAGAAAGCGTTCACTCATCCATTCCAGAACAGGGTTTGCAGGATCTACTGATGCTGAGAACACATCTCCCTATGGCCCAGAAACCCTGTTCCTAGGCATTCACACAACAGCAACGAGTATGTGTGTGCATCCAAAGACAAATCCACACATCATCACAACAGCAAGATTCATAGTTGCCAAAATCTAGAAACAACCCAATGCCCACCTACAGTAGAATGGATCCCTAATTGCGGTGTGTTCACACAGTCAAAGCTATACCGCAACAATGAAGATGAACAAGTTTCAACTAGACACAACAAAAGGGATTTATCTCACATATAATGGTGAGCAAAAAAAGCAGGCACAAAAGCGCACACAGTGTGGCTCGGTGTATGTGTGGTTCAAAATTGTGCTGTTCAGACGTGGGAGGTGGGTCCTGTTGGAATGCGGGTTAAGGACAAGTAGGAGGCACGAGGGGCTTGCAGGATGTGGGAGAGGTGCTATTCCTTCTTCTGTATCCTGTTTGCCTGGATGTGTTTCATTTGTGACGATTCACTGAGCTGTGTACTTAGAATCTGTTCATTTCCCTTCTATCTGTTTGTAGTGGGCCGAATGGGGACCCCCTAAAACATAGGTCCACAACCTAGTTCCCAGAATCTTTTATGATGAGAATCAACCCTACCTGATATGGCAGAAGATGTGATTATGGTGAGGATCTTGAAAGGAGGAATTTATCCCGGATTACCCACGTGGGCTGGAAACCTAAAATGAGAGCCTCCTTGTAAGAGAGAGAAAAGGCCACACAGCGACACAGAGAAGACCATGTGAAGATGGAGGCAGAGCTTCAAGGGATGTGGCCACAAGCCAAGGAGCTCCCGGAGCACCCAGAGCTGGAAGAGGCAGGAAGGATCCTTCCTTGGGGCCTTCGGAGTGAGCACAGCCCCGCTGAATTCAGACTTCTGGTTTCCAGAACTATCAGGATACATTTCTAAGGCTGGGCACGGGTGGCTCATGCCTGTAATCCTAGCACTTTGGGAGGCCAAGGCGGGCAGATCACTTCAGTTCAGGAGTTTGAGAGAATAAATTTCTGTTATTTTAAGAGACCATGTCTGTGGTCATTTGTAAAAGCAGCTGCAGGAAACCGATCCACTCTTCTACTTCAATGAAATGAGGAAATTAAACAGTAAAATCGAATTCTGCCTGGGCCCCACTCTAGGCCAAGTAAGTCAGAACAGGCTGGGGAGGGCCTGAGCATTAGGCGGCTCCCATTCCCGGGTGGCGCCCAGGGTTCCCCGGGCTCAAGAGGCTTCACCAGGAAGGGAGACTCCCTGCTGCCTCGGGCCCCTGAAAAGGTCCTCAGGGACATGGGGCAGGGGGGTTGGGGGCACCAAAGTGGCCAGGACCACTCGGCCGGGTTTCCAGGCCGCACTAAGACCCTTCTGAGGTTTGCAATCATGAATCGTAAGTGAGCCTCAGCCAGATGTGTAACTGTCTCCTGCGATGTTCAGATCCTCAGGGTAGATAAATGTGTTTAATCAGAGCTGGGATGTTTCCAAGTGAATTATAAAAGAGAGGGAAGAGGGCAAGGGAATTGAGGATGCTCAAAAGAAGGAATGACATCATGAGCCACAGAATCTTAGCTGGGTAAGAAAGGAACTAAGGGTGGAGGGAAAGCTAGGGAGCAGAAATGAGGTAAGAAGAATGAATGGGGGCCAGAAAGCACCACAGTGGGGGCTCACCCAGGAGGCTGGGCAGGCGGAGGCAGTCAGAGAGGGAGGCAGAGGCTGGGGGAAGACAGGCTGAGGTTCAGCCTCAGAAGAAGGAAGCAGAGGCTGGAGGGGGACAGGCTGAGGGTCTGGACATGGAAGAAGGAGGCAGAGACTAGGGAGACAGGCTGAGGTTCAGCCTTGGGAGAGGGAGGCAGAGGCTGGAGGGGGACAGGCTGAGGGTCCAGACATAGAAGCAGGAAGCAGAGGCTGGAGGGAGACAGGCTGGGGGTCCAGCCTCGGGAGAAGGAGGCAGAGGCTGGAGGGAGACAGGCTGAGGTTCAAACACGGAAGAAGGAGGCAGAGGCTGGGGAGAGACAGGCTGGGGGTCCAGCCATGGGAGAAGGAGGCAGAGGCTAGGGAGAGACAGGCTGGGGTCCAGCCATGGGAGAAGGAGGCAGAGGCTGGGGAGAGACAGGCTGGGGGTCCAGCCACAGGAGAAGGAGGCCACAGCGTGCCAGGAAGGTGGTTAGAGCTGTGAGGAGGTCCCACAACAGAGACCAGGCATTCAGCAGATTATCCTCAAGGAGACCAATGACCTAAAAATGGTGCCAGGAAGGAAAATGAAAGGAACACCATGACCAGGGTCCGGAGGCTCAGGGAATGAGGGAGTGGTCCTGTAGGTCAGGGATAAGAGCTATGGGACATGGGCTTAGATGGGCTTTGTGTCTGGCAGAGGGTGAAAGAGAGCATGTGGACAAGGCCACAGGGAGGGGAGCAGGGAGGGCACGCCTCAGTGGCAAGAGAGGGAACAGCCTCCCTTTGAGAACTCAGAGGATGGCCGACTTGTGTGAAGGGGACACTCAGAGAAGAGGTGAGGATGCTGCAATGCTTTCTACACCCAGGTCTGCAAAGCTTACTGAAAAGTAATACATCACTGCTCTTTAGCTGTAGGAATTCTACTATCTTGGTATACTTATGAAATAGCCAAAGAAAGGCAGCTTTCCAATCCTTCACCCCTGAAAGTTCACAAACTCAGTCTACGTGACATCACTGCGTCTTCAAAGCAGGTCCTCCCAGAGCTCACCCTTCTAAATGCAGAAACTGGCCAAGTGGAGCTAGGAGTCTGTGTCATTTCCTAGGACATTCCCAGGGTCCCTATTGTGTGACAGCTACTAGGAAGGCACACGAGGCACCAAGTTCCTCCGCAGGAGACCCCTCTCCCCTGGCGGTTCTCTGCTGGCACTGAGCCACTGTGTGCAGCCGTGATGCCCAGGCAGGCCCTCACCCCAGGTACCTCTGGGGCCTCCTGGGTGCTGCAGCTTCTTGCTGGGCTGTTCATGGAACAGGTTGCCCTTGGTGCCTACATGTCCCGCCCTCAGCACCAGCTCCTGTGAGGGCAGGGACCCCAATGCCCTCGACCTAAGGCTCTCCCTTCTTTCCTGTCTGCCCCATGGCCATCCTGGAAGGCATCACCAACAGAAAGCCATTCCAGAAAGCGTCCTCTCTGCCCAGATGGACGCAGCTGCCCTGTGTGAGCTCCAGGCTACCATCTAATGACATCTTATCTTCTTCCTGAAACCAAGATACCCCTGGCTGGTGGAAAGTGAATGGCCTTGGAGTCGAAAGAGACTCTTTCGGGCAACCTGTTGTGTTCGTTTCTTGTTGCTGTTGTAACAAGTCATCACAATCTTAGCAGCTTAAAACAACACTAGTTTATCATCTTGGGATTCTGTAGGTTAGGAGTTCCAAAGCCGGTCTCACTGAGCTAACCTGAAGGTGTCAGCAGGGCTGGTTCCTCCTGGAGGCAAGGGGTTGGCCGGGGCGGGGTGGGGGTGGGACTTCTGCTCCATTGCCTTTCCAGCTTCTAGAGGCCACCCACATTCCTTGGTCCTCTTAAGCCAACAGCCTTGTGTTTCTCTGACCATGCCTCTGTGCCCAGGCTCCCCCTGACTCTCCTCTTCCACCTTCCTCTCCCACTTCTAAGGACCCCTGTGATTACATGGGGCTACCCAGATAATCCAGGGGCATCTCCCTCTTTTAAAGTCAGCTGATTAGCAACCTTAATTTCATCTGATTCTCCTGCACCACATAACCTAACGAATCCAAAGGTCCAGGGGATTAGGAGGTGGACCTCTTTGGAGGGCCATTATTCTGCCTACCACACCTCAAATGCAAGCCGTCTTCTTTTCCAGGCTTCTATTATTTCACTTGGTTCCTGACATGGTAAGGGAAAAAGGGGTTTCCCTGGCAGCACATGCTGCTAAAGCGGTTGAGGGTCCCTCCTCCACAACTGCGTGGCTTTGTACACAAGCAGTTCCAGCAAGCAGGGAGAGCTCCAGAAACACAGTTGCCAAAGAGACTGAAGTTCTAAAATTCACGGTAGGAGACTAACATGCTCCTGCAGGACAGCAGTACAGGCATTTCTGCAAACACATCTTTTTTTCTGTTTTCCCATGCTTCGATCCAGAGTCTCTAGATTAAAGCGTTTTCACCATGGTACCCAAGGAAGCACAGATAAAGGCTCCCCAGATATATGTGTGCATGTGCTTATGTGTATGCACACGTGTGTTTGTGTAAGGGAGAGAAGTTTCAGCAGCCACTTGTGATGACAAAGTATAGGCATGCACCAAATAACGACGTTGTGGTCAGTAGGCACCAAGTATATGACGCTGGCTCCATAAGGTTACAACGGAGCTGAAAAACTCCCACTGCCCAGTGATGTTGTCGCCATAGGAACACGGCACACTGCGTTAGTGATGCTGTAGTCATAGGAACACGGCACACCGCGTTGCTCACATTTGTGGGGAGGCTGGTGTCAACAAACCTGCTGCACTGCCAGTCGTAGAAAAGTGTAGCACATACCGATTATCTACAGTACATCATACCTGATAATAATAATAAATGCATATATTACTGGTTTAAGCATTTACTATACTTTTATCATTATTTTAGGGTATCCTCCTATCTATGGTGTACTCCTATTTATTTTTTTTTTAAAGGTAACTGTAAAACAGCCTCGGACAGGTCCTTCAGGAGGTATTCAGAGGCACTGTTGTCATGGGAGATGACAGCTCCATGCGTGTCACTGCCCCTGAAGACATCCCAGGGGGGCAAGATGTGGAGGTGGGAGACAGTAATATTGATGATCCTGACTCTGTGTAGGCCTAGGCTCATGTAGGTTAGCCTAGATGATAGGTTTGTAATGTAGGTTAGCCTGTGTTTGTGTCTTAGTTTTTAACAAAAAAGTTTAAAAAGTAAAAAAATAAAAAACTTAAAAGCTTATAGAATAAGGATGTAAAGAAAGCAAATATTTTTGTACAGCTATACAATGGGTTTGTGTTTTAAGCTAAGTGTTTTTCCAAAAGAGTCAAGTTACAAAGAATTTCAAAGTTTATAAAGTTAAAAATGTACACTTAGTTAAGTATATTATTGAAGAGGAAAACATTTTTAATAAATTTCACGTAGCCTAAGTGTCTGGTGTCTATAAAGTCTACAGTAGTGTATAGTAATGTCCTAGGCCTTCACATTCACTCACCACTCACTCCCTGACTCACCCGGAGCAACTTCCAGTCCTGCAAGCTCCATTCATAGTAAGTGCCCTGTACAGGTGAACCATTTTCTCTTCTTTTTTTTTTTTATTTTAAGTTCTGGGATACATGTGCAGAACATGCAGGTTTGTTACATAGGTATATATGTGCACACATATGTTTCTTGCAGCACTATTTACAATAGCAAAGACTGGAACCAACCCAAATGCCCATCAGTGATAGACTGGATAAAGCAAATGTGGCACATATACACCATGGAATACTATGCAGCCATAAAAAAGAACAAGATCATGTCCTTTGCAGGGACATGGATGAAGCTGGAAGCCATCATGTTTTGTCTTTTGTACAGTATTTTTACTACACCTTTTCTATGTTGCGATACACAAATACTCACCATTGTGTTGCAATTGCTTCCAGCATTCGGCACAGTCACCTGCTGCGTGAGTTTACAGCCTGGGAGCAACAGGCTCTCCCATAGAGCCTAGGTGTGTGGCAGGCTGCACCATCTAGGTGTGTGTAAGTACATGCTACGATGTTTGCACAACAACAAAATCACCTAACGACGGGTTTTTCCTAATGTATTCCTGTCACTAAGTCGTGACTGTGTTTGTAAATCCCATTTCACCAGCCGGTGCATACATGCATTTCTTTTATCCCCCTACCAACGCCAAAACACACCTACATTTGGCATTTGTTTTCCTCTGCTAATGGCTGCACAAAGGAAAAGTCTTTTCTTTTCAGTTTGCTCACTGATGCTGCTGCTGTGTCCCCATAGGAAAGCAGGGGTCCCACCGGGCGGGTCAGAGGGGACCAGTCTCTGGTTTCCTGAGCTCCCTGCAGCCATGGCTCCAAGCTCCGCACCGCACAGGTGATCCCACCCATCCTGGGCCCCAGTTTGGAGAAACTGTCACAACCATTGAGGAGAATTAGGAGAGACACAATAAGCATGCCTATGAGTGTGGCATACATAAAAAGTCTAGAAGGACACTCAATAAACTCAATAAACAGCCTTAGTGGTCGATCTCTGCAGAGGGGGCCAGAGAGCTGGGAGCTCAGAAACATGATGAACCAAAGCAGACACTTCCCCGTGCCATTTCTGGGAGGGCTGATTGGTGACACTTTTTTGGGTCACAGTTTGGTAATAATTAGCAACATTTAAGTACACATAATTCCATCTTAAGAAATTAATCCCAAGGGACTCCACAGATGCCAGTCCAGGACAATGAACAATGGCATACCCCATGGCACTGCTGGCATCCTAGAGTCTAAGCACATTGCGGCTCCTCCATGCCATGGGCACCACCGACGGGCCTGCCAGCCTGCCCCTGCTGACAAAGATTTGCAAAGGTATTTCAAACGAAAAAAGCAAAACCCTGAAGGGTGTGTATAATGCGATCCTCTATGTATTTTTCTAAGCACAAACCTGAATATTACGCGTAGAGGGCATCTGGTCTGCCTGGGAGGATGTCCATGGTTAAAAACACTGAGGCTGGGTCTGGAAGCTCTGCACCATTCACATTTTTCACCATGAAAAACAAGTGTGCGAAACAGCAGTGTTAAGTACGCTATCTGCTTTTGCTCGCTGCACAAAAATAACATTTGTACAAACAAAAGACTATTTAAGCTTAACAAGAGCAGCAATAAAAAACAGGTCCAAATCGATCCTGTGTATGCCCAGTTTCTGTAATGGAGGGCTCTGTGCTGAGTAAGCTCTCTGGTTTCACACTGTGCACAGTTAATAAATGGTTATTAATAATAGCAATGATAATGGCCTCCACGTGCTACTGAAATGCAATTAGTTTCACAGTGGAGCATGCTACACATCTGAGGATGAACATTCAATTTTCACTCACATCCCAAACTTTTAAGTGGTCAGACCAACAGTTTGCATAAAAGGCCCTCCTGTGTGTTGCACTGTGTCTTAATTTCATAACTCGACCGCACCCCGGGCCCCAGCTGCTGCTTTTGATTAAATCAGTGGACGACTGTATTAACATCCCTTTGGGACTCTGACACTCCAGGCTGCATGTGGCTGCAAATTAATAAATGCTGGGGCACAAAGAGACTGCCCAGAGGGCACCTTAAAATACGTGCCTCTTCCCCTAACATATCTTGGGAGAAAAAGAAGCGTCCCTGGAGGGTTGATGGGGTGGACACGCAGAGTGAGCACGGGAGCGCAGGCAGGGAAGGGACCATCTCTTCCTCATCAGCAGCCCCTCTGCAGGCAGGTGGCTGAGAAAGGCACAGGAAAAGGGCTCAGGGCGTTTTCAAGAGGAAGGCTGGGCAGGAAGGAGAGGGGAGAGAGCTGGAAGGAGGAGGCAGGATGTGGCAGGCCCTGGGGCCGTCTTTGCATCGAGCCACCTCCCCCAACCTTGAGAAGAGGAACAGGAGGTTAGGAACAGATGATGGCCCATGAAAAGGTGAAAATAAACTAGCTGTGATGCGTTAAAGAGGGTGACGCCTACGAGTCCTGCAGCCACTGCAGGCAGAGGAGGCCCTGCTTCCCTGACCCATCTGCCTGCGGCTGCAGGTGGCACCTCACAGTGGCTGTGCCTCCCAGGACTCCAGCTTGAGACTCGGGAATCCTCCCACCTGGAGAATCGGGAAGACTCCTGCTTGCTTTTCCAGTCGGATTATTTACCTCGGTCCCGCCAGCATCTATGCCCTGACTTGAGACTACTCTAGGCAGAGGCGAAGGTGAGGCCAGCCAGGGAGGCAGCAGCCGTGGATGTGGGCAGGGCCATGGACGGACAAAGCAGCTCCTCTGCAGCTCCCGGACGCAACCTCTGGTGAGCACTGTCACCAACCATGCCATTCCTCAGCACTCCCAGAGGGAGCCTGCAGACAGCCCCGCGTGGATGGCTGCTGCTTCTTATTCCAAACTCTGTCTAGACTGAGGCGCAGTGCTGGGCCTTGCGCTCATCAGATAAACTAAACTTGAAAACTCACAATGACGCATCCGGGGTTTAAATTTACTTACATGAAATTCAATTTTTAGCCTTAAGTCACTCCTACAAAGTAAGTTTCTACAGGAAAGGGCCAACATGAGCACCCAGTGAATGGAAATCCAGGCCATCCTCATCCTGAAGGTGCCAGAGCAGGCCCCGCCGGCTGCCTGAGAGCTCCCATTCCTTGTCAGTCCCCTCTGCCCCTGCCTGCCTCAGTTCTCTGCCCCTGCCTGCCTCTGTTCTCTGCCCCTGCCTGCCTCAGTTCTCTGCCCCTGCCTGCCTCTGTTCTCTGCCCCTGCCTGCCTCAGTTCTCTGCCCCTGCCTGCCTCTGTTCTCTGCCCCTGCCTGCCTCTGTTCTAAGGACTGTAAGAGCTAAACCTAAGATCACTCGACTCCCTCGTAATCGGGGGCGGGGGGCCATGCGACAGTGTTCTTGTCCATGAGATGTGAGCAGAAGTCCATGAGAAAGACAGCCCTTCCAGAATAAAATGGCAAAGCTTCCACAGGAGAAATCTTTTTGCCCGTCGGCCTTTGCCCTCCCTCTATGTTATTCCTGCCTGGAATGCAAACGTGATGCCTGGAGGTGCAGCAGCCATCTTGTAATGTGAGGACAGAACCCATGCTGAGGATGGCAGAGCAGACAGGTGAGCCTGGGTCCTGGCTGATGCCTGTGAGGAGCTACTGCTGTCTGGGCAGACAGCTTAGCATTGCTGTTGCAGGAGAAAAATTAATTTCTATCTTTGCATCTCATTCTTAGCTGAACCTTTCCTAATTTGCAGCAAACCTACATGAAACAGTAAAGGACAATCACAGTTAAAATAAATACAACACATATGTGTAAATATACGTTTATAATTATTTTTGGTGCATATTTAAATTAAGGGAGAGAAGTTACGTAAAATTATTTTCAAAATTTTAAGGTATGATGGACATTATTATCCTGTATAAGATGGCTCACTCCTAAAAAAACCTGGAAAACTTCAACGATAGTGGAAAAACAGAGACGCTTTTTAATCCATCATGAAAAATCCTAGCACAAGCCCAAGTGGAAACACTATTCCCCAACAGAAATGCAAAGGCAGAAAAGCCCCCTGAAAGAGGGATCCTAGCAGTCAGCCTTCCTCCTACTGAAAGAGGGATCCTAGCAGTCAGCCTTCCTCCTACATGACTGCCTTAATTGTTGGGCAGTAAATGGCTTTGTAGAATGTAACGTGGTCACAAAACCCCAAGGAGCCAACTGCAGAAGGAGAGGCAAGCAGACCCAGTGCCAAGCAGAAGAGGGCAGGGCCATGAAGGAAAACCAAGGGACATGTGACCGCCTGAGCACCAGAGAAGCCCCAGCTACAACCGGTACTCAAGGGGCAGCCCCACCTCTCTGCTGCTTTGCTGATTCCTGATTCTGAGCAAAGGATGCTATAAATAAAGCTAGAAATAAATATTCCACCAGTGTATCCCTTGTTTTCCCAGCCTCTCTTCCAAATTTCCTCTTCATGCTCAGCTGCAGGGTGAAGCTGACCTCCTTCCTGCTCTCATGATCATAACGGCTCTGCTGTGAAGACCGCAGCTACGGGGATCTTGTGACCTCAATTGGTCCGTACCCACATGGAGGTAATGGCCAATCTGTCTCCTTTCTCTATATGTCTGAAAGAAAATAATAAACTGACCTGAGCTTGGGCTCATCTAAGCATGCTGTTGTGTGCCAGGGAGACTTCTCAGTGTCACCATCCTCATCCCCATCTTCATGGAACCAGGGCTAAAGGTCCGGCAGACATGTTAGAAGATGCAATGTGCAAAAAAAAGGAAAAAAAATTAGACAGTTGCTCTGGGAACCAAGGCTAGCAATCAAACAGTAAAATAAAGACAGGAATAACTGAAGTGACCCTTTATTGACTGATTGCTATTGATTGGCTGATCAATTACTTACCACATCCCCGGCACCAGAGAGAGTAAACGTGTAAGCACATGCTTTCCTTCTATCAACACTGGGAGTTGTTCTCCCTACTCTAGAAGTGCCCCAGCTGAGAGAAGCCCCCAGGCCATACAGCAAGGAATAGGCCAAATTGGGCCCTAAACTGACGCCTGCCAGTTCTCCCTGCCCAGCCGGGACCACAGGCTGCAGCACAAGGTCTCCACCATCAGACATCACTTTGAGCTGAAGACAAGTCAGGCCTCAGAAACCCAGCCAAACCAGGTAAGGCCTACGTGGGGAGCCCCCAAATCAGGGCGGGAAGCCCCCAGATCACGGTGGGAAGTGAAAGAGGGGCTGGTGATTCAGCACGCAGCACAGCCAATCACTGAGAGGTCCACTATCTGGCCATGGGCTGAGCAAGGGGGTCCTGGGCCTGGGAGCTTGCTGGGAGCCACCTCCCAGGTCATTCATCTGTGCTGCCAGGGCCGGGCTGTGTCTGAGCTGAACACTTCAGTAAGCACCTGCTTAACACAATGGTGTCCAAATCCCCCAGGGCTGCAGCTCTCTACAGCGTGTGTGCCTTCTGTACCATCCCCCGCCTCATCCATCCTTGGGCTCTTATATTATTTTTCTGGGGATGCTGTAACAAATCATCACAAGCTGAGTGGCTAAAAAGAACAGAAATTTAGTCTCTCGTGGTTCTGGAGGGGAAAAGTCAGAAACTAAGGTGTCAGCAGAGCTGTGTTCTCTCGGAAGGCTCCACGGCAGGGTCCTCCTGGATTCTTGCAGCTTCCGGTGACCCTGGAGCTCCTTGGGGTGCCTTGGCTGGCAGGTGCATCAGTTTCATCAGCTGATCGGCCACTGCCTCACCTGGCATGCTCTCCTGTGTGTCTCTGTTTTCTCTTATAAGAACACAAGTCATTAGACTTAGGGTTTACCGTAATCCAGTATGACATCGTTTTAACTTAACTGGCTACATCAGCAAAAACTTGAGTTCCAAATAAAGTCACAAAAGTGGGCGAAGGACATGAACAGACACTTCTCAAAAGAAGATATTTATGCAGCCAAAAAACACATGAAAAAATGCTCATCATCACTGGCCATCAAAGAAATGCAAATCAAAACCACAATGAGATACCATCTCACACCAGTTAGAATGGCAATCATTAAAAAGTCAAGAAACAACAGGTGCTGGAGAGGATGTGGAGAAACAGGAACACTTTTACACTGTTGGTGGGACTGTAAACTAGTTCAACCATTGTGGAAGTCAGTGTGGCGATTCCTCAGGGATCTAGAACTAGAAATACCATTTGACCCAGCCATCCCATTACTGGGTATATACCCAAAGGACTATAAATCATGCTGCTATAAAGACACATGCACACGTATGTTTATTGCGGCATTATTCACAATAGCAAAGACTTGGAACCAACCCAAATGTCCAACCATGATAGACTGGATTAAGAAAATGTGGCACATATACACCATGGAATACTATGCAGCCATAAAAAATGATGCGTTCATGTCCTTTGTAGGGACATGGATGAAATTGGAAACCATCATTCTCAGTAAACTATCACAAGAACAAAAAACCAAACACCGCATATTCTCACTCATAGGTGGGAATTGAACAATCAGATCACATGGACACAGGAAGGGGAACATCACACTCTGGGGACTGTTGTGGGGTGGGGGAGGGGGGAGGGATAGCACTGGGAGATATACCTAATGCTAGATGACGAGTTAGTGGGTGCAGCGCACCAGCATGGCACATGTATACGTATGTAACTAACCTGCACAATGCGCACATGTACCCTAAAACTTAAAGTATAATAAATAAATAAATAAATAAATAAATAAAAATAAAAATAAAAATAAATAAAGTCACATTCTGAGGTTTCAGGTGGACACGATTCACGATTTTGGGGGAAGAACCATTCAACCCAGTCCAGGCTCCCATGTGCAAACTTCCCCAATTGCCCTGCCTTATCCCTAAGTCCCTAAAAGACTGGATGACTACACACACACACACACACACACACACACACACACACACACAGATGCATGCACATGGAGCTTGTAAGTACATACATATGGATACACACATATGTGTGTATATATATTGTCATATTGAAATGAATTAGCTCTATTACTTAGAGGCTGCCTTCTAAACAGAACCGGGAATCTGGGACTGGAGCAGGAACCAAAACAGGGTTCCTTGAGGTCCCTGCTCCTAATGCAGCTCTTTGGCAGCTGGAAGAAATGGCATCTTCCATGCAGGGGTTACTGATCACCTTGGCACCTGCATTCCCACTCACACTCTGCCTGAACAACCATCCCAATACATTCCACTGCTCGCCCCAACCAGCAATGAGTACAGCCCCAGTGGTTTCAGGGTGTGACGTGCTCAGAGCTCCTGCAAGCTGAAGGTGAGACCAGCACACACAGCACGGCCCACCTAGTATCGCGCAGCACGAGGCAAGTCACCTTCCCCATCTCCCTCAGTACCCCCTGCCCTCCACCTCTAGCACATTCTCTCTGATGGAATGACCAAAGGCAGTCTGAGCAGCAGACGCCTCCTCCCAGCAAAATCCAGGCTGCAGTTGGCCTACTGCATGTGTGACCCCGGAGATGTCCCTTCCCTGTTCGGGACCCTGGCTCCCCTCTGTGAGTGGAATGGGTCTGGGGATAAACGAGGTACCATCCCTCAAACCTGCGCACAGTGCCCGATCCAGAGTCAGTGATCAACACCTCTTACTGTGGAACAGCTCCAGGGTCTCTCCACAGAGTTGGAGATGCTGGTCTTGGGCTCCCGAGGACAATGGCAGCTGGCACTGCCCTCTGCAGTGGCGCCATCGAAGCTGCTACATCTGCCTCCAGAGCCAAGCCCTGTGATGAGGCCAAGCCTCAAACGGCAGGATCATCGGGGCAACCGCAGGGACACTGTCTAGCAGACCTGGGCTTTGACAGGGCTCCAGAGAGGGATGGAGGAGCTGGGTCCCCAGCTGTGTCCACCCAGGTAAGGGAACACCCCCAGATGGGTCAGCTTGGGCACCTCAAACCACGTAGACTTCATGACTGTTTTGGAGGAATCTTTTTTTAAGTCTCAGCTTCAGCATTTGAGTACACATGGTGCGTGCAAGCCTTCCAGTATCAAAGTGGATGGAGCACAGGGCTGTGAGTCACAGGATGCTGCTGGACACCCAGCCCCTCCCTGACCAGCCACACGCCCATGGCCAGTCAGCCAGCCCCTGAAAGGCTGGGTTTATGTTGATACTAAAAAGTTGCTATTGAGTTTATTCAAAATAATAATGTTCTGCCTACAAAACACCTGGCTTAGCAATCAGCTTGGTGATGCAACCGCTATGCCATTCGGCCTGCTTGTAAGCAGGGTATTCATACTTCAGAGGGCTCTAGTCTCCAAAAACCAGTGAGAACGATGCCATCTGCATCTGTGCCAACACGGCAGTGTGGTGATGCTTCAGGTCTGTGTACGATAAATCACTGCAGCTAGACAGTCCTCAAATTAGAACTGGCCTCCTCTATCTTTCCAATGTGTTTAAAATTACACGGGCACGTGCATCCCAACTCTGTGTTTGCCGTGCACTTACCAAAAACAAACAGCCCAGTATGTGTGTGGCTTTGAAACTGTATGTGTATAAATGACAAGCTGGAGCTTCTGTCTGTGTCTTCCGTGGAGAACCTGTACTTACCAGCTCAGGAAGGGGGCACTGACCTCCACCTGGGAAATGAGGAAGTTCAAGTCTTCCTCTGGCAGAGCGTCCTCAGGGGCTTCCTGCCACACTGCTGGGGACACAGAAATTCTCCCCATGCCTCCTGCCGGCAGCGACCTATGCACACACCTCTCCTGCCCCATGGCCTGGTGGTCCCACACACTGCAGCCCGTCCTACCCTCAGAGGATCTGCACTCCCGCAGTTCTGCTGAAGCGCGTGTATGCCAGGGCCATCTGCAAAAATTCTGGCTTTCTCAGCTGTGTGACTCCCACTGCCACCCACAGTATTTCTTCCTTATCACCAAGTCATGTCATTTGTTTTCTTTTTGTGTCATTTAGTTATTTTTCTTCCAAAAACACAGAAGAGAATCTTTTGGTACAAAGAAGAAGACAAACACTGCTGCTGGTTCTTTAAACACCCAGACTTACTTGTGTTATAGAATTTGAGGCCAAATGCATACATCAGTTTGC
This sequence comes from Homo sapiens, assembly GCF_000001405.40. Lineage (NCBI taxonomy): Eukaryota > Metazoa > Chordata > Mammalia > Primates > Hominidae > Homo > Homo sapiens. The sequence goes on from NW_025791776.1 coordinate 69,011, forward strand.
TCATTCGTTTAACAATTGATATGTACCCATTACGTCTCAGTCACTGTGATAAGTCCAGGGTATAGTAGTGGACGAGGCTGGTGTGGTCCAGACTCTTAAGGAGATGACAGTCTTGAAGGTCAGATACTTCCTCTGTAACTCTGAGAGCTACCTTTGATACTTATTGGATGTCAAAGGAGAGTTTGACAAACAGACCAGCACTGGTCTGAGGTGTCAGAGAAGGTGAGATAACAGAAATGACTTTTACACTGCAACCTGAAAGATGCGCACAGGTGAGCCAGGAAAGAGGTGAGTTATGTGGAGGTGTGGTGGACTGAGAGGATGAAATACGAGTATGACTGGAGTGAAAATAAATAAATAAAAGCAAGGAAATGGGGTATTTAGGAGACTTAGTGATGGCAATGATACCAGGGCAGGGGAAGAGGGAGGGACAGAAAGGAGGCAAAGATGATATGACCAGCTGAAAGTTCATGCCACTTTCTGAGGCAGACACAGAGGGAGACTTGGGTAGGAAACGTATCTGTGTAATTTTAGAGACACTGAGTTGGAGGTTCCTGGGGAATAGCAGAGGGGGAAAAAAATGGAAGTTGGGTTACAGAAGTGTAGGACTCATTTAGGCTGGGCTATAAACCTGGAATCTCAGCACAGGATGGTAACCGGTGCCAGGGAATAGATGAGCTTGTCCAGGGAGAGGGTGGGTAAGGAAAGATGCCTCGAGGAACCCAAACCTGAACCTCTGCTGGAGCATGCTGTTTAGAAGTCAAGGAAAGAGAGGGCTCTCCGGAAGCTGTGCTGGTTGGAATGGGGTCTGGATTCAGCATTTTAATAAGCTCCTTGGTGGTTCTGCCACGAGTAGGCAGAAGTCTGCCTTGGAGAAACTCATTCAGATGGAGCTTGGACAAGGCCGACCCTCAGCTAATGTTGACTGAATCAACGTGTTTTGTAATTATGTATTTGTCCGTCTTTCTGTATCAATACATACAGATCTTCATTCCTTCATTCATGTTAGTCATAGCACAGTTATCCAGCAAATGGATAAAGCACGATTTATCTAAGCCATTATTAATGGACATTCAAGTTATTGCTTGAATATAATGTAAAATTTATATAATGTAAAATTTATATAATGTAAAAATTAACACCTGCCTATTCTTCTGCTGGGTTTTCTTATTTGTGAAAGAGCTCTGCATAGTAGTCATGAAGTTCCTTGTGATATGTATAATAAGTATTACAACTGGGCTCAGTGGCTCACACTTATAATCTCAGCATTTTGGGAGGCCAAGGAGGGAGGACCACTTGAGGCCAGGAGATTGAGACTAGCCTGGGCAATATAGTGAAACCTGATCTTTACAAATGAAAATAAAAAACATTAGCTGGGCATGGTAGTGCACACCTATAGTCCCAGCTACTCAGGAGGCTGAGGTGGGAGGATCCCTTGAGCCCAGGAATTTAAGATTACAGTGAGCTATGATTGTGCCACTGCACTCCAACCTGGGCCAGAGTGAGTCCCTGTCTCTATTTTTAAAAAAAAAAAAAAAAAAAAGAACTTTCTTAGCTTTTTTGCCTTTTGAGTTTATGGTGTTTTTAGCCTTATGTTATTTATTTTTTTCTAACAGCTATACAGCCAAATGTATCGATCTTTTCCTTTGTAACTTCTTAGGTTTGTGATACATTTAAAAAGTTTAAGAAGTGGTACACCTGCCACCTAACGTCACCTGAGTCTTGACAGAACCAAGGACTGTATATTGTCGAACTCCCTTGGGGCAATGGCACCTCTGTCACTTGGACAGATGGGTCACTTCTGTGCAGGTGAGTGGCAGGAAACACAGCAGGCTCACCTGGCTATACAGGGTAAACATGTGACCTCGTTTGTAGCCAGCACCTGTATTGTCACTGACTGTAGAAATATTTTAATGAGGCACTCATATATATTTGATAGGATTCAAAAAATGGAAATAAAAAAAGAACACAGAAAACTGATAAACTACTCAGTGACATTACTGATACTCCCCAAAGATGAGCGCTTCCCCTTGTACCTAACACCTGGTTATTTCAGGACTTGAGCACAATAGAGACAGATGGTATCACAATCCTAATCAAGTGTAACTCCAACAGCTCAACTTCCAGGAATTTACCCTAAATAACAATTGAACAAGTGGAAGATGTATGGTCAAAGATAATAACTTCATATTAGTGAAGAACTGGGAAGCACACAGGTACCCAATGGGAGCTGATAAACTAAGCCCAGGAGAGCCACAGTCTTGTGACGTGGCAGGCACAGGCCCAGCTCTCCCATTCGTTAGCTGGGTGACCTGAGCAGGCGCCTCAGGTCCCTCATCTGTAAACCTCACCGATTTACTGTGGGAATTGAGGCAATGCATGGAAAGTGCTTAACCTGTGTCCAGCATGTAAATAACAACACATCTGCTGTTAGCACATTAATGGAACGCTAAATATTAAAATTATGTGAGAGGAAGTTTGAGTTGCCCAGATTTCATGGCATCCTGTTAAAAGAATAAAGGTTACCAACTCATGTGCATAGTAATAATTCCACATCTAGTTGTTCAGTGTGTGTGCACATCTGTGCAAGAGGAGAACATCTAGATGGATGAAAATCACAATAGTAACAATTTGGGCAGAAATGTGGAGATTTTTGTAGCTCTATTTTTCAGTTTTCTGTAATGAACCCTTCTGATTGTACACCCAAAAAGATAAAGAATGTTCTAGTTCTGTGTAAAGGTGGGGCTTAATTTTCGCTTTTTCATTCTGACCCACAGAGGCAGCACAGATTATCTAGAACAGTGACACAGGCTCAGGCCCTGTTTGAGTCCATACCTGCCTCGTGGTGGTTCAGCGGTGTCCTTGGGCATAACAAAAATCAGTAGGCCCTGGGGCTGTTTGCCCGATCTGTGTCTGCAGGAAGAAAGGGGTGGGGAAGAAGAGGTCAGAAGCAAAGCAGGGATTGGAACGAACTGGGTGGCAATGGGCAGGGGTGATGTGAAGCAGCTGATCGAAATGGCTGATACCGTCCCAGGATGACTCTCGCAATCATTCTTTTAACCAAAATGAGGTCTTTGAGAAGAAGGGATGAAGGGCCAGCCAGGTGTGTGCACCTGAACCCAAGCTCCTCCGGGTGGAGAGCTCTGGAAGGCAGTGTCAGTGACAGTCACAGCATGCCTCGCCGAGTGTCAAACGCGGCCTGGAACCCTCCAGTCCTCTCACACTGACATCAATTCCGAGCTAAGTAGATTCCTCAGCATTTCAGGAGATTTGAAAGTGATGGGCACTTGTGACTAACAGTAATGGCAGGTGGGGTGGAATTAAGGGGCATGTGGCCTGTCACAGTGTCGAGGGGCTCCAACACCTCTTCATTGCCTGGGGACCCACTGTGGTGGTGTCATCAGACACACTGATGAAAGTTAGGAGTTCCAAGGCAGTGCATCCATATACCCAAACTTTTACTCAAAAAAAGACTGGTGAATATTCCAGAATAATGTGTGACAGCTACACCGCCCCTGCTGGGCCTAGGTCAGCAGACTTGTCATGCTGTGGGCTACCAGATACGCATCTCTAGCTGACAGTCACCCTCTCTTCCCAAGGCTCAGACATCAAGATTAAAACAGCTTGAGGCCACCCGATTAACTCAGTCCCAGGATATGTAGAACAGCCCCTACTGCCGGCACATCCTCCATGTTTCAGAGCCCAGGAAGAGGGGACTGTGGACACTTTGGACCCACCCAGAACCAGCACAGAGGGAGGCGAAGCTGCAGGGCTTCGGGCACGTTAAGCCCTGGTGCCCCAGCTTCAACATCAGTAATATAAAGAAAGCCGGACCTCACAGGGCTGGTGAGGGCCAGGTGAGTTGATGCAGGTGAAGTGTGTGGGAAGAGCCCAGCGAGCCGCGTGCCCACATGGCCCTCGTGCAGCAGCCAATAGTCAGCATCCTGATGCCAGAAAAACAAGGCGGAACAGCGATTCAGGCACCCGAACCTGCCAGCAGGGGCCTCCTCTACTCTAGCAGAAATTCTTCCCCTTGGTAGCAGTAGGAGTCCTTTTCTGGTGCTGTTTTGGAGAGAACAGAACTGCTAGCGAGGGACCAGCTTCCTAAGGGGCCTGGCCCCTGACTCTTGGTAAATACGACCCTCCTGGGGAGTATTCTGGACTGAGTTGCATCCCTCCAAAACTCCAGTGTCAAAGCCCTAACCTCAGGACCTGAGAATGCAACTGTATTTGGAGACAGGTTCTTCAAAGAAGTAAGTTAAAAATGGGTCCTTCGGGTGGGTCCTAATACCATCTAACTGCTGTTCTTAGATTCTAAAGAGGTTAGGACACACAGAAGAGACACCAGGGCTGTGACACACACAGAGGAACGACCACGTGAGGTCAAAGTAAGCAGGTCTGCAAGCCAGGGAGGCCTCGGGAGAAACCCACTCTGCAGGCACCGTGAGCTTGTACTTCCAGCCTCCAGAACTGTGGGAAAATACATGTTTGTTGTTCAAACCACCCAGAATGTGGTGTTTTATTCCGGCAGCCCTGGCTAGGATCGAGGCTGGTTCAGGATCGCTCGTAGGAGGCAAATTAACACAGATTCCCAGGGCCCATCCTAAAGCCTGAGGCTCAACACGTCTGAACTGGGGCCCTACCTTAATAACAAGCCTGCCCAGGCCATTCGGACACAGGGGTCTATAGGTCAACCTCCGCACAGGCCGCACTAGGGCCTCAACTCCAAGGGTGGCCCACAGATCACAGAAACAGCACCACCTGCAGTTCATGAAAAATGCAGTTTGCAAGGCCCAACGGACGTGTGAATCCGAACCTGCAGGTTCACAGAATCCCCTCAGGATCTGTAAGCACACTGAAGCTGAAACAGCCCTGCCGGGCGTCTTTCCAGAGTGTCAATAAATTGGTGTACTATAGCCGCTAGGAAAGGTTTGTAGAAAAAATTGGAGTTCTGCATTTTGCTTTAGCTTTTCCTGCCTAAATGCCTGGAAAACAAATTTTCTTATGAATATTACCAACCCTCTGGGAAAGTAATAATTAACTGTTTACAAGACACATTGTATTATATTACAAAAATAATTACATGGAATAAGCCACATACTTAGTTTATTATAGGCATGTCTAATTGAAATCCATGAAAACAGTTACATTTAAAACATTCTTTATGCACTATACTTGAAAATGTAAAATATAATACCACTTAAGTACTTCCCACATTAAACTGATTTTTCTTTTTTTAAAAAAATTTTTCCTAGTCGTTATTTAGCTTTCGGACACCATAATACAATAGAACAGAAAGAGTATGTTAAAAGAAAAATATTAGGTAGAATGTTGTAAAACTTTTAATTTACCCATCATATTTAACATTTCCAAGACTATTTTCCTGCGCCTCATCTGCCCTCAGAGAGAATGATCCCCACAGTGATGAGGGGTCAGCACTCTGAAAGCCAGTTGACGCCAGACAAGCTGCTGGAACAGCTGGGGCACAGCTCCGCCTCTCCTCCAGCCCCTCGGTCCCATGAGGCCAAACAATGAGGACAGAGGGGCTGAGGGGTGTGTCCAGGGCCCAGTCCCACCTCAGCAGGAAGGTGGCGTCAGCACTCGCAGTCCCAGCCTCACGCCGCATCGCAGTCCCAGGGGATCTTCACACAGGGAGGGTGAGCTGGTTAAGAAGGCGGGTGATCCTCCCCCCGGATGCTTCGATACTTAGCCATGTCTTCCGGAAATACTTTAGAAAGTTCTTGAATCAACAGGCTTTTAAATTTCTACAAAGAAAATACATTATCAAAGGAGCTCTTCACATCAACACTCCAATAACTATTTAAAATATGCCTTTTGGAAGTTTAAACACATGGCCCACTAAGCAATACAGGGCCACGGGACTGACCTGAGACTTCCACTGATCTCAGAGAGGAAATGACACCAATAGCAACATATGCAAAAGGAAGCGACACTGCACAGCCCCGGACGTCACCACCAGCAGCACAGTTCTGTACTGCCCAAAGGCACCAGTGTGACAGGAGCCTGCTGGAACTGTAAGCCACGTCCCTGGTGACCCAGTGGCTGTGTTCACATGGAGAGAGACGTTTCTGTTGGCCAATATAATTCTCACTCAGCTTTATCAAGCGAAACGGAACAATCAAAACGAGCGGCCCTCACTATTGATAAGGAGTGCACTGGCTCTGAAGGTGACGCTGGACTCAACAACTCCTCAATCCCAAATGGACAAAACAGAGATGAGGCTGTGGGAGCCATAAGAACAACTATGACAAAACACCACTTCTGAGGTGTGCTGTTTACCACCAGGAGGGGATCACCTGAATGGGATTCTGGAAGCCCTGTGACCTGCCTGTGACTAGGCAGGTCTCCTTCTGACAGCTCCTCCCCTTGCTCCTCCCACTCGGCCAGAGCGCCAAGAGGCCACTGTGTGACCATCCCTGCCTGCGCACATTAGCCATGGCTGAGCACACGTGTCCCAGTCTGGCACCAGGCATCAGTGGGAACAGAACACTCATGTCCTCTGTGATCCTGGAGCTCAAGCAGCCGGCAGAGGAGACAGAACAAACAGAAAAAACAAAATTAAAAGGTAAATCTTGACCAGCATTCTCAAGGAAAGCTTTAGAAAAGGCTGGTCCCAAAGGCCTCTTTGAGGAGGTGAAATCATCTGAAACTGGAAGGATAGAGTCGCTTGTGCAAAGAGAACATGGAAGAGCTCCAGGCGGAGAAGATGACAGGAGAAAAGAACACGAACGAAAGGGTTGGATGTATTCCAGAACCGAAAACCAGGCCGGCGTGGATGGCCGGGAGGAGGAAGAGGCACCTATTGTGAGCTGGGAGGAGAGGAAGGCAGAGGTCCCTGCTGCACACGGCAACAGTCGCATGGCGCCAACAGAAATGAGTGGCCGTTAAGTCCAAATAAAGAAACAAAACACCAATTTGAACTACATTTGAGTCAATTTAAGAAAAAATTACATATTTCATGTTCAAGTGCAGAGAGTTCTCTACATCTCATCAAGGCAAAGAAAAACTAAGTGATCTGGGGAATTTCATGACAATGGATATGGTAAAAAGAAGTTTGGAGGTCAGAAGCTGGACAAAGAGAAAAATCAATATTCAAGAATCCTCTAAAACAAAGAACCATGACTACAGGGAAAGCCTTCAACAGTAGGAATTACTACAGAAATAGAAAGTATCAATGCAATAAAAGTGCATCTTAAAAAAATGAAAATGATCACAGCCAGTGAGAACTACTATCACAAAAATTACTCTGGATTTCCTTAAGAGTAAGATTAGTGTATGTTTTTTATGCTATTACGCAGCTGATATCTAATTTTACTTACTGCCTATTACACAATTCAGAAATCTCAATATGTGAAGTTATGAAAGTCAATATTCTAGCAAGTATGGAAAAAAATGAGTCTCTTAACCAAATTCCACTGAGAAGGCATCTCTTCCCACTGTATTTCTGACACTCCTTAGAGTCTTACCTTCATGGTGTCGATCTTGCCTTTAACTTGCTCATTTTTAGCTAGAGCCCTCTCCAGGCACTCTTTGGTGTAGAGCTGGGGATTTCGACCTTGATCTATATATCTGGAAACACGATATATTTCAATTAGCATTCTCATGACTGACACCTATTCTCACAGCTTTCTGAAAGGTATGGGGGAATAAAGGTTAGGTATATATAACTGCACACGGCCTTGTTTAGACAAAACTCAGTGTAGGAACCAGGGGAATTAATATTCCCTCATTTACACAAGTACAGATCATCTGATTTCATTACTTCTGATAATACGAACAGCTCATAAAATCAAGTAATGATCACTGATAAACCCAAGCACGCTTCACAAGCCATACCACTTTACATGTGTTTAGCATTTGCACTTTTCAAAATTCGTTCATGCTATTTATTACCTTTTTGATCCTTACAGCAGCTTGTATGGTAAGGCAACTCTTGACAAAAGAAAAAACTAAATGAGATCCAGGGGTTCGGGCCTGGGTGACATAGGCGGATCCTTCCACGATGCAGCCTCCATTCTAGGTCAGCCCTGCTGCTTGGCAAAGCCCCTCCTCCTCTGTGGAGGAGCTTCAGGGGAAAGGAAAGGAGAACTACAAGCACAAGAGCCCCAGCCCTGACGACCCCAAGATCCTTTTACAAACCATTCCACTGCTTTAAAAAGAAGAGGCGGCTTGATATACCACTTTACTAAATACACCTAGGTAACTTAAATATAACAGAGACATTCTGGCCAATTATTTCTAAACAGTATAAAACTGTTACTTAGAATTTCTGACACTTCCCCCAGAAATTATCTTCAGTATCCTGAAGATTTAATTAAACATACTGCCTAGATCAATACCTATATTTTACCAAGAGCAGGCCACCTACCTTTTTCTGTACCCTAAAGAAATCCTTATCATTCAACTAAACTGAATCATTCATTATTTAAAAAACAAAAAACAAAAACTGAAAACTAACTCTACTTTCGAATTTTATAATTGAGGCCAAAAATATATAATCACTTCAGAACAAGATATCATTAGGTTACTACTAATGGTATAAAAAGTAGCCTTGATAGATAGCAAAAGATAAAAACATCACAAGTTCTAGAAATTCTATTTCATTTCAGTGTTTTTGAAATAATGTAATGTGGCAAAATTATGGTTAATTCTAAACAAAATCTATCCATTTCTCAAGAAAAACCTGACAGGCTCACAGAATAAGGTTAACCATGTCAGCTGACGGTCGTTTCTTCAACAGCATGGACATCCTGCTCAGACTTGGTTCTTTGAAGACCGAAGGGTGAACCCACTCCTGCCCACACACAAAGTCCTGGAGACAAGGGCCAAGCTGCTTTCACCTTAGCTAAAGACACAGTTGGTGTGTATGAAAATGTACACGCTGCAAAGGCCACTGGGACCTGGAAATTCCTTCTACATTGGGTAGACACCAACCACCGATTTGCAGATAAACTCCCAGCATCTGCTCTGTATTAGGGCTCACTGGCATACTCTTCCTGATACCCCAGGTCAATCTCATCCATCCCCGTGCCCAGCACTTCCCTCGGCCCTTAAGCAGTCTGTTCACATCAGTCTCCATTTGTTCTGCTTCAGAAGACACAAGTAGTTACTTGCCACTTGTCACTATATGCATCCCCTGCATTCATAATCAGAAGAGCACAAAGGAGGATGCTCTGTATTCCTGGACTGAGAAAGCCAAAGCTGAGTCTGGAGCTACCTGAGGTGCAAGACCTTCGTCCCACCTGAAGTCAGAGACCTCAGTGGTGCCCACTGAGCACAGGTAAGGAACATGGGGCAAAGTCATCAGCAGGTGAACAGAAGATCAGAGACCAAGAAAACCACCTCTGTGTCCTGTCTTTGTAGGCAGCTGCTGCACTATAGCTAGAACTTGTATCTCTGACCTTTTGGGATGGAAAACAGCCATAACTCTTTCCCTTTACTGCTTAACGAAATCTAGTGATTTACATTTGCAGTTTTGCTGCAAGAAATACTAGAATGTTCTTGCTGTTCCAAGCCAGCACCATCAGGGAGAGGCTGCTTTGCACTGGTCAAGAAAGTATGAGTCCGGGGGTTTCGTCTTAACTCTGACACTTACTAGGTAAACAACCTATTGCAGTTACTTATCAGGTCCTTCATGTGTGAAATCAGAGATGTGACCAAATCAATGCAAGAAAACCTGGATTTTAAAAATCTAAAAGCTCATTCCTGTATGTGTTCTCAGGACTATTACTAACATAGGTGCACACAACTCTCGCACAGAAAACAGTGAGCAGCCTCCCCAAACATACTTGGAATAAGAACCCTTTCTTTCCTCCTTCGACAGAGCAGATATTTTCACCTCTCAGAACTAGCACTCCACGGGCAGTTTGGGAACATCAGACCAGCTTGCTTTTCAGGTGCTTCTGGCTGCCATTTTTTAAAAATTTACAATATAGCCCTCATAGGACTTTTCACCTCTTAAGGAAAAAAGAAAGTTTTGTGGCTGTTCTTTAGCCTAAGCAGGGCTTTGAGGACCTATGATGTATTTCATATATTTAATAAGCTTTTATTTACATGTAACTTTTTTTCCACAATAGAATATTAAGGATATTCTTTTTTTTCGTTTTGTAATGCCATTAGAACGGAAGTTCCATAAGGGCAGGTATTTTTGTATTTTTGTCTATTTTTTTTTCCACTGGCACATCCCCAGCACCCAGGCTGTGCCTACCACACAGCAGGCACTCGAATGCCAGTGATGAAGAAGTCACGATACCACACCATAACTGAACAAGATTTATACCCAAGACTAATATCAAGAATGTTACTTACTCAAAAACTTCTAACGGTACAGTAATATCATGAAGCTGCTGTCTGCACTTGTCAATATCCTGTAAGCCAGTAACAATAAAATTCCTGGGGGAAAGGCAAACACACAGGCATCTGGTTAATTTCGCTTGACAGCATAAGCACCACCCACAGAGCTACCCAGCCAACCGGGGCTCCACGCAAGTTCGTTCTCCTCACAGCTATGCGGGTTACACACGGTTCTGACCTCTTTGGTTAGCTACAGGATTCCTAGGACACCGTTAGAGTTACAAAATACCCTTAAATATTTGTTACTTTCCTTCTCAACTAGAAATTGCCAGTAAGGGGGATGGAGAGGGAACCTGATGAAAAATATGAACCTTCTCTCAAAAACAATTACCTGACTGTGCATATGACTGTGTGTGCGGTTTCAGCGAACACATGAGGCAGCGGACTATACTCAAAGTCTGAGGGAAAGAAAGCCATACTGTCTGGTTTAGCTTCCTCTCCTCTCTGGAGCCTTCCTACAGCATCAGGCTGGTCTGGCTATTCCCACAGCACTAGGTATGGAACCTCGAGTGCAACATTTTCTATGTCCGTGCCACATATAAAGCCCTTCTCGAAAGTGCTGTACTTGCATTTGCCTTTTCTCCAACCCAGGGCCTAGCAACATGGGCAGCACAAGGCTGTTGCCAAGAAATAATAATAATAAACGTTCTGCAACCTTTCTCAGCACCACCTCCCCGCTATTTCCTCCACTGTCAGGCCTATGCGGCAGGTGGCTTCGGAGCCTCACCTTCTGAGGCCTAGTTTAGGGCGTGCACTCACTGTGGAGCCTGCCTCCCCTCTGGAGACAGGGACTGAATTCCCAGAAGGGCTCCAGGAGGAAAAGGCTGGGAGGGGGTTACACATGAGAGGGGAGACGCTAGAAGAGAAAGCATGATTCCCTTGATAGGGAAACGTAAAGTATATCATCTGGCCATGACGACGTCTCCAAAGGGGCCTCAAAGAGGTTGGCTCTTGGCAACAGGCTGGAGCGCGGGCCCCGCCCTCTGAACACAGCCAGGAAAGGCGCCCCGGGCTCCGGGACCAGACCAGAGGGCTGGCGGGGCACGAGTAGCGGTCAGGCTCGGCTCGGGCTCCCTAGATCCCCGCTCCCCTAGCACACGCTTCCCGGCCAGGCCCTGGGGAGACCCCGGCAGCCTCGGGCCGCCACTCACAGCTTTTGGTTGAGCCCGGCCTGGCTGCTGGGCTGGAAGTCACTGACGATGATGCCGAGCTGCCGAATGTTCTCCACGAACTTCTCCAGGTGCTCCTCTAGGTGGTCAAACTTCTCCGCCATCGCCTCGGCCCGTCCCCGACCCACACAGCCTCAACCAGCAGCGCCGCAGGCGTGGCCCTACGCTCCCGCTTCCTGCTTCCGTCCGGACAGATACGACTTCCGTTTCCTCTGGGGGAGCGCGGGCGAGCTCTTGGGGGCGGAGCCTCGTTATCGGGACGGGCGTGTTGGGGCGGGGCCTAAGTGCGGGGCAGGGCGGGCTTTCGGGGATGCGGTCTGGATTCTGGAGGAGGCCTCGGCGCGCAGCTGGGCGAGTACTAACTGTTTGCACTCTCATCAGACCTGCCTCGGTCATGGGAGAAGTTGAAGACTTTCTGCAATGCAGCATCTTCAAGCAATACACACATGGATGAAAATCCTAAAGTTTGCATGAAGGACCAATAACGGTAGTTTCCCTGCCCCTCTACCAGAACCCCTGGGATCAGCGCCTGCCTGCCTCCTTTCTTCTATGTAATCGGCGGCCACCTCCCCTAGCTCTTGCTGCTAACCATGCTTCCCGGACACCTGCTGCCTTCGTAGGTCAGGGTCTCACCTCCTCGGGCCAATTCTGACCAAACAGCACCCTGTGGGGTTGCCCTGTCTTAGTAAACTGCTGTTTATCTCATTGAAATTCAGTTTAGGTCATTTCACTCTTATGTTTAAGAAACTTTTCTGCCCGATCTCCTATGATAGCGGATATCTCCTCTAGCCTGTTTGAATTTCTCAAGTGATTTATTTTACTGAATATATTTGTGGCCTGTACTTTTCAGTGCCTAGAAACAGGCAAAGTGAGGGAGCTCCTTTGCTAGATGATCTTCAGAGCCTCTCCCAGCTGTGACCAGAAATGGAAAGCCAGAGAAGGTAAGTGACTTGCCAAACTTATGGAATCAGGGCACTCCAGTTGGTGGGCTGGGCTGATAAACAGAAATGTTACATAAAATACTTCTCTCCTGATTTAACAACAATTAACTTTAGGGAATTATAAAACAAGATGGAGGCTGGGCGTGGTGGCTCAGGCCTGTAATCCCAGAACTTTGGAAGGCCAAGGCAGGTGGATTACCTGAGGTGAGGAGTTCGAGACCGACCTGACCAATATGGAGAAACCCTGTCTCTACTAAAAATACAAAAATTAGTCAGACATGGTGGTGTGCGCCTGTAGTCCCAGCTACTTGGGAGGCTGAGACAGGAGAATTGCTTGAACCCAGGAGGCAGAGGTTGCAGTAAGCCGAGATCATGCCACTGCACTCCAGCCTGGGCAACAGAGCAAGACTCAAAAAAAAAAAAAAAAGGTGGAAATAAAATATTAGACAAATAAAAAATTTTAAGTTATTAGGTAGAGGTAGCGACATGGAGTGAACGGCCTTTCTCAATTTCATAAGTAAGAAAGATAGATAATTGATGGAACTTAGGCTTTGGTAAGTATTTATTTTAAAAATTTAAGGGTATCTCTTTGCTAGTATATATAATTCCCAAACTAGTAGACAGGGGGAAGGGAATAAAGAAAACACAATCAACTCAATAGAAGGCAAGAAAAGAAGAGAATAAAGAAGCAAAGAACAAGCATGGAAAATAAAACTCACAACGTAAAGTGCAAAAATTAAAGGCACACGACTCAACAGCAAAAAAGCAAAAGAAGAAATTTATAAATGGGCAAAGGACCTGAACAGATACTTCTCAAAAGAAGACATAAAAATGACCAGCAAAAATGCTCAGCATCACATATCATCAGGGAAATACAAATTAAAAGCATAATGAGATGTCACCTTACACTGTTAGAAGGGCTATAATCAAAAAGACCAAAGACAATGGGTGTGGGTGAAAATGTGGAGGAAAGGGAACCCTTGTACACTGTTGATGGGAATGTAAATTAGTGCAGCCTTTATGGAAAATAGAATGGAAGTTTCCCAAAACTCTAAAAACAGAATTACCATATGATCCAGCAGTCCTACTTCTGAGTATATACTGTGAACCCTGAATATCTGAGACAGTTCTCAGTTAATTTAGAAAGTTTATTTTGCCAAGGTTGAAGACACACACTCATGACACGGCCTCAGGAGGTCCTGATGACATGAGCCCAAGGTGGTCAGGGCACAGCTTGGTTTTATACATTTTAGGGAAACATGAGACATAAATCAATATGTAAGTGTAAGGTATACACTGGTTCTGTCCAGAAAGGCGGGAAAACTCAAAGCAGGGAGGGGGCTTCCAGGTCACTGGTAGGTGAAAGACAAATAGTTACATTATTTTGAGTTTCTGATTTGCCTTTCCAAAGGAGGCAATCAGATATGCACCTATCTCAGTGAGCAAAGGGATCACTTTGAATAGAATGGGAGGCAGGTTGTCCCTGAGCATTTTCCAGCATGACTTTTCCCTTTAGCTTAGTGATTTGGGGGCCCCAAAATTTATTTTCCTTTCACAATACTCAAAGGAATTGAAATCACTATGTCAAAGAGATATCTGTGTTTCCAGAAAGAGGTCCCAGTCCAGACCCCGAGAGAGTTCTTGGATCTTGTGAAAGAAGGAATTCAGGGTGAGTCCATATAGTAAAGTAAAAGCAAGTGTATTAGTAAAATAAAGGAATAAAGAATGGCTACTCCATAGGCAGAGCGGCCCGAGGGCTACTGGTTACTTGCTGTTATGGTTATTTCTTGATTGTATGCTAAGCAAGTGGTGGCTTATTTATGCCTCCCCGTTTTAGACCATTTAGGGTAACTTCCTAACAGGTCATGGCATTTGGAAACTGTCAGGGCAGTGGTGGGAGTATAGCAGTGAGAACTCTCGTTGCCATCTTGGTTTTGGTGGGGTTTAGCTGGCTTCTTTACAGCAAACTGTTTTATCAGTGAGGTGTTTATGACCTGTATTTGGTGCCGACCTCCTATCTCATCTTGTGACTTAGAATGCCTAACCATCTGGGAATGCAGCCCAGTAGGTTTGTTTCAGCCTTATTTTACCCAGCTCCTATTCAAGATGGAGTTGCTCTGCTTCAAATGCCTCTAACATCTGTACCCCATAAAAATAGACAATTATTATTTGTTAATTAAAAATAAAATTAAAAAGTGTATCATGAACTGTGTTCCCTGTCATTAAATGTGTGCCTTCCCCACTAAAAACATACGTTAGTGAACACAGTAAATGTTAACAGATTTAACATTTAATTAATTTAATTAATTAATTAATTATTTAATTTAACATTTAACTGTTAGTCTATCCTAACAGTTAAATGTTAACAGATTTAACTGTTAGGGTAGACTCTCAGATTAGAATCCAATTGGAAGTGTTTTGTTTTGTTGTTTTAATCTAGCTATGTTGCTTTTCAAAGGTACACCTAAAACAAACTTATAGACAGGTTGAAAATAAAGAGGGAGGATAGAATAATATATGGCAGGCAACCAAAAGAAAGTTGTTAATGCATATAAAAGTTAGTAAAGAAACATTAAAAAGATGCTTTTAATGGTAAAGAGAAGACTCATTAAAGATAGAATACTATTCACCTATAAGCAACTGACAACATAGTCCCATATTATCTAGCACAAAAATTGACAAAATATGAGGAAAAATTCAAAATCCATAATTATTACAGAGGATTTGGAGTACCTCTATCAGAAAACAATAAATCAAGTAGGCCAAAAAGCATATGAAGAATATGGAAGACTTAAGTAATATATTAAGAATTGTGATCTCTGAAAAACAGTGACCCCTGAAGAATAGATTGTTTCCAAGCACATTTCAAATACTTACAAAAACTTGACCATTCCCTAGACCACAAAGAAAGTTTCAGCAAACTCAGATCCTATCACATAGACCAGATTTTCTGACCTCGTAATTCCAGTAGAAATCTATGAATTTATTCATTTTCTACACATACATACACGTTCGAAAATCAAAACACACTCTAAATAATTCATGAGTTTACATACATCTGAGAATGGGCAAGACCCAATTATGTCTGTTGTCTTCGTGTGATTATTAATAGCACTCTTCCACTCACTGTCAAACATGTCCCAGTTTGGTTGATACGTTATGTGGACATCCTATTTAAAAGGAAAATTATAAAACATTTGGAATTAAATGACAAGAATTCCCTGTCAAACTTCTGCTTTACTCCTGAGGTAATAATTTGAGGGAAAACAGCCTGGAAAAAATAAACTGGAGTTTCAACTCAAAGAGTAGGATAAAAAGAATCAAAAGGGAAATCACAGGCACCAAAAAATACATAAAAAGGGGTGACAAAAGTAAAGACAGACACTGATGAAAATGAGAACTATTGCATTAGTTTTCTGTCTAGCTGCATTCGAAGCTGGAAAGATAAAAATGAAGAAAAGTTGATTGTTGAAAAGATGAGTCAAATATATATACTTCTGGCAAGTCTCATCAGAGAAGAAGAAAAGAAAGGTGCTAAAAGAGAAAAATATACAGTATTATAAATGAGTGAGGGTGAGGGTAAAACTTATATGTTCATAATTTTGAAAGCTTAGAAGATATAAACAATTTTCTAGGAAACTACCAGAAATTAACTTAAGAAAAATAAACAATTAGAATAGTTCCTAGTCTTTCAATAAACTGGCCAGTAGGCAAAAATCTCTTTCAAAGATAGGAGAGACATAAGCTCGGACAGTTTTTTATACTAATTGTTTAAAAATCAAACATTAAAGAACAAATAATTTCAAACTTACCCAGATACATTCAGAGACTAGAAAAAGAAGAAATACATCCCAGCTCATTTTGAAAGAGCAGTATAACTTTTATATGAAAATCATCAAGGACAATACAAGAAAATATAGGTCAATCTTCCTTATGAAAGTAGATACAAAAGTCTTAAGTAAGATATTATCAGAATTAGATCAGTTGTCATGCATCAGGCATCTATTGCTGTATAGCAAACCATGCCAAAACTTAGTGGCGTAAAACAACCTCAGTCCTTCATTTTACCCACAAATCTGCATTGTGGCCTGTGCATGGCGTTCACAGCTTCTCTCTGCTCCATGTCACATGGGCTGGGGTGGCTTCACTGGAGGCTGAAGGACCTGCTTTCACAATGGCTTATTCAGCGGGGCTGTGGGCTGGCGACCACACATCCCCCCCGTGTGGGTGTGTCCCTGGGATTTGGGAGCTTCCTCCCTGATGGTGGCAGGGTGCCAAGAGCACAGAGCTCAGGAGAAGCAGGTGAAAGCAGCACCACCTCTTATGACCTTGCCTGGGAAGTCCCCCGACAGCCAGGGCACATTTAGATCCCCAGGGAGGGAACATAACCTGTCTTCCCGGTGGAAGAAGTAAGAAGTCACATTGATAGAGGAGCAGGTGAGATGAGAACTTGTTGAAGCCGTGAACCCCAAGTATCTGAGACAGACAGGTCTCAGTCAATTTAGGAAGTTTATTTGCCAAAGTTAAAGACACCTGCCTGTCACACAGCCTCAGGAGGTCCTGACAACATGGGCCCAAGGGCACAGCTTGGTTTTATACATTTTAGGGAGACGTGAGACATCAGTCAATATATGTATGTACAGTGGTTCCACCCGGAAAGGCAGGGCAACTAGAAGCAGGGAGGCAGTTTCCAGGTCATAGGTAGGTGAGAGACGAATCGTTGCATTCTTTTGAGTTCCTGATTAGCCTTTCCAAAGGAGGCAATCAGATATGCATTTATCTCAGTGAGCAGAGGGCAACTTTGAATTCTGTCTGTCCTTTGTCCACAGAGAAATTCCTTGTGAGGGAGTTATGTCGCTTTTTAATCTTAGTAGCTACGTTTTTTAGGAACAGAATGGGAGGCAGGTTCGCCCTAAGCAGTTCCCAACTTGGCTTTTCCTTTTGGCTTAGTGATTTTGGGGTCCCAAGATTTATTTTCCTTTCACAAAGCTGTTTTTGAAAAATACAACCTGTCACCCATCACATTGGGAAAAAAGTTATGATCCATTGTGCTTTTCCTAGGATTGCATGAATTATGAAATATCATAAAATCCATTATTATAACAGTCTGTTAAGGATTAAAGGAGATAAAATACCTCAGGTAGATTTTTTAAGTAGACACTGGATATTAATAAAATTGAACCCAAATCATGATTTAAAAATAAAAAAGAGGCTGGGCATGATGGCTTACATTTGTATTCCCAGCACTTTGGGAGGCTGAGGCGGGCAGATCACGAGGTCAACAGATCAAGACCATCCTGGCCAACATAGTGAAACCCCGTCTCTACTAAAAATACAAAAATTAGCTGGGCGTGGAGGCACGCACCTGTAGTCCCAGCTACTCGGGAGGCTGAGGCAGGAGAATCCCTTGAACCTGGGAGGCGGAGGCTGCAGGAGCCAAGATCGCACCACTGCACTCCAGCCTGGCGACGGAGCGAGACTCCATCTCAATAAAATAAAATTACATTAAATTAAATTAAAAAGAAACCTTTGAGAAAACTAAGAATAGAAAAGAACTTTCTAAACCTGATGAAAGATGTTTTATCTACTAAGAACATAGAGAAAGCATTAGACTCAATAATGAAACTTCAGGAACATGTTTGTTAAAGTCCTGGACACAGCCGGAAGCTTCACTGTCGTGTTCTAGGCCTCTCTCCCGGCTGCTGGTGGTTGCTGGCAGTGGTTGCTGTTCCTTGGCTGGCAGAAGCATCCCTCCTCTCCACCTCCAGCTTCACGCGGTGTTGTCCCTGTGTGTGTCTCTGTGGCCAAAATTTCCCCTTTTCATGAGGACGCCAGTCGGGTTGGATTAGAGCCCACCCTGATGACTGGAGTTTTTCACTGAATTACCTCTGTGAAGATGCCATCTCCAAATCAGGTTGCGTTTGGAGGCGCTGGAGGTCAGGACTCCAACATATCTTTTTTGAGGGGATATAACTCAACTGTAACACCCCTCCTTCTCTGCTCAAGACCAGCAGCACTCGTTGTCTGTATTGTGATC
Organism: Homo sapiens; assembly: GCF_000001405.40. Lineage (NCBI taxonomy): Eukaryota > Metazoa > Chordata > Mammalia > Primates > Hominidae > Homo > Homo sapiens. The sequence continues at coordinate 87,532 of NW_025791776.1, forward strand.
GCGGGATGTTTAATTCAGGACCAGGCCATAACGAGCATAATGATGGTGTTAGTCCCTGTGATTAACCATCAGCTACAGTTTCTAAAGCACTCATCTCCCAGTTGTCCACAATGACTACTCCAGTGAAGATTGTTCCCTGCTGAAACAAAAAGCATCCCAAGCCCACTTAAACCTACATTGAGACCGGGCACGGTGGCTCACGCCTGTAATCCCAGCATTTTGGGAGTCCGAGGTAGGCAGATCACGAGGTCAAGAGATCAAGACCATCCTGGCCAACATGGTGAAACCCCCGTCTCTACTAAAAATGCAAAAATTAGCTGGGTGTGGTGGCAGGTGCCTGTAATTCCAGCTACTTAAGAGGCTGAAGCAGGAGAATCGCTTGAACCCAAGAGGCGGAGGTTGCAGTGAGCCGAGATCGCGCCACTGCACTCCAGCCTGGAGACAGAGCGAGACTCCGTCTCAAAAAAAAAAATAAATAAACAAAAAGATAAACAAACAAAAAACCTACATTGAAATTCTTCCTTTTACTCAAACAGCTAAGTAATGGCTGCTTTCCCTTTATTTAGCAACATAATACTGTTGGCTTGTTTATAAGAAACGTTTTAACATTTCAACACTCCAGTCCCCAAATGTAAATGAAATTAGGTTGGAAAATTCCAGTAAGTCAGAAGGTCGGCCTGGTAGGAAGCCGTGTGCAGAAAGCCTACAGAGCATTGCTGACTATACGTTTTGTCGCCTTGTTTTCCCTCCGAAGTCGACATGAGCTGCCCCTAGGAAATTTCCTTACTTCTGATACTTGGTGACCTTGAAATCTGGAGGCTGTTTTTTCCCTTCTTCTTTACCTTTTTTTTTTTTTCATTCACACTATTATCGCTCCATCAGCATCCAAAGCCCTTAGTGGTATCATTTGGAACATGTTTTGCCATTCATTCTAATTTATTCTAAGAGCCAGATTCAGCTTAAGTTTAAAAAAAAAAAATGCAGCTCTCCTACCCAGAGGAAGGAACAGCTGGTTTCTGCTTCTCACTTTGAAGATTTTCAGCACATTAGTAGTTCTAGCAGAAGGGAAGATTTGCAACTCTGTTGTTTGATGATGATGGTGATGATGATGACGGTGATGATGGTGATGGTCATGATCATACTGATGACAATATCTGCCATTTTGGAACATATTTTATAGATTATAGACTGTCTCATTTATTCTTCATAACCCTAAAGGAAGCTACTATAATTTGAACCATATGTGGTCAAAAGAAAGCCAAAAAAGTATCCCTAAATACAGAATTAGGAGACAGAATAATTTCATCTGATAGAAAATGCTGACATTATTTTCCCTCAAGAGCTACATTGACACATGAATGTTCAAATAAATTAGGTTTCCCGTTCATTCTATTAGATTCACATACCAATGAGAGTGCCTGACTTGTGCAATAAAAAAATAGAAATTGTATCTTTTTTTACACTAACAAGCATTGAGAAGCCGTAAGATTTCTCTTCTCTTCTGTTTTCCTTTCTATGCAATATTTGCAGCAATGTGCAGCTCTACCTGGAATTCTGTGTGATGTATGTGATCAAATTTTTAAAAGCAAAAAGATGAGATTACACTAATACAGACTGGCATGTGATCCAATCAGCAAATGGAAGTATGCAGTTGGCTTTCACTATCAGCTTTGTTTTTTTGTTGTTGTTGTTGTTGTTTTGTTGTTTTTTTTTTTTTACAAATTGTCACAAGCTCAAAAGAGAGGGCAGGACAGCATTACAGAAATAGGGATAAGGTAAGACATCTAACTCCTTAGCAGATTATACACACAAGCATAGAAATACAAACTTTTCTAGGCTGCATAGCAACTTCACCCTCCTGGGTCTTTCGGCACACGGTGTAAGCCCTGTTATCTCATAGCGTTTTGTAAAAATTAATGACTTTCAGTTGAAGTCTAAGTTTGTCTTAAACACTCCAAAGAGAAATGAGCTATGCTCAATTTCTCTTCTCACATATGCTCTTCTCATTGTGGATGACCCAGAAAACAAAGTCTTACCTTGCAGAAAATCGTGGTGCACGCAGGCCTGGAACACCTGCTCCGGTTCTGATCAAGAAAGACAGATAACCAGGAGACTGTACAGCAGAAAGCATCTGAAAAAAGCAAAAAGAAAGCGCTTTTTCAGAAAACTAAGTAAGAATATATGAAAATTCTTCATTATGGAGGATGGAAGCTCAGAGGAGACAGGACCAACATCTGCACAACTTTGAACAAATACCTGGCTATTAATACGCAAGACAAGAGAACTGGGCTCACCTCCTTCACTTTCTAGAAGGTGGCTGTAGTTTCGTTAGTCCACGTCCTCTGAGGAGCAGATCCCAGGATGGGATTAAACAAGAACTTTCTTAGAAGAAATACATGTGACAGAAAAAGGGAACCAGCATGGCTGGAAGAACCATCAGAACAAAATGCAGGTCTGATCCCAAAAGAAGGGAGGGAGAGAGGGAGGGAAGGAAGGAGGGAGGGAGGGAGGAAACAAAGGGAGTCTAGAAGCATCTTAGACTGTGGTACAGTCCTAAGGAGAGTTTGGTAAGACCACTGAGAAGCCCCCAAACCAAAATCGCTCACCAGCAGAGTCCCCAGGAATGGACAAACCTTAGCCTTCCTGCATCACTCACTCAGTCATTGGCTGAGCAGCCCATGGAGGCAAAAAGTGCAATAGATTTCAAAGGAGAGCATTAGGGCCCTTGGTTAATTCTGCCCTTACCATCAGATATCTGAAAGATGCATTCTTGTGGGTGCCACATTAGGATAAGCAACAGTAATGATGATGATGATGATGATGATGATGATGATGATGATGCCATTTATTGACAACCTATCCAAAGTCAAGGATTGTACTAGGTATTTTACATATATTAAATATAATTATCAAAAACAATCCTCCCTAGGCTGGGTATGATTGCTCCCCATTTTCTCATGAAGAAATTGAAACTTGGGTAAATATTTTGCCAAGAAAGGGTGTAGAGTTGAGTATCTGATCCTTCAGGCATCATATTCTTACCACAGCAAACAAATGAGAGAATTTTTGCTTCTGCAATAAGAAATAGAGTTCGCTGAATTTATTAAGCTAAAAAGTTGAGTGTTTGGTGGGTTTTTTTGGGGGGGGGGTTGTTTTTACAATATAAATTTTTGTTTACAATATAAATAAATGCAGCATTCATTCTACTTAATTCATAAATGACAATGTTGGAAACTAGAGGGCCGGGCGCGGTGGCTCACGCCTGTAATCCCAGCACTTTGGGAGGCCGAGGCGGGCGGATCACGAGGTCAGGAGATCGAGACCATCCCGGCTAAAAAACGGTGAAACCCCGTCTCTACTAAAAAAATACAAAAAATTAGCCGGGCGTAGTGGCGGGCGCCTGTAGTCCCAGCTACTTGGGAGGCTGAGGCAGGAGAATGGCGTGAACCCGGGAGGCGGAGCTTGCAGTGAGCCGAGATCCCGCCACTGCACTCCAGCCTGGGCGACAGAGCGAGACTCCGTCTCAAAAAAAAAAAAAAAAAAAAAAAGAAACTAGAGCCATTGTACTTTCCCACCAAGGAGCTCATGACCACACTGAGCCCTCAGTGACCCCAAATGGCATTTCTTATGTCCCCCTGGCTGTCTAAAGTGGAGCTCAGGTATGGCCAGGAAGGGACGCAGCCCCAGTACTTCTTTGGTATATGACTTTGGCCCATTTCTAGAATTGTCTTGGTCTTCAGTGAGATGGAGCAGGGACTCCTCCTAGGGGCCTGCAGGTCACCCCCTGCCCAGTGAAGAAATAAAGAAAACTCTTAAGTTCCTTCAGGAAAAATTCCAGGCACCTAGCTCACACTGAAAAATAACTGAATAAACAAAAAGATAATAGTAGCTTAAAACAGTAGCCAAAAAAGTTAGTCAAGAGATATGTTATTCCCTATAAAAACTGAAAATAACACCTTAACATATGTCCCTGAGTTATTTTTCAAAAACCTGAACCCCCACCAAACAGATTTGCTAACACATAGACCTCAAATTAAGGGAAACTAAAAACTAAACTCTGGTCACTGTTCTTTGTTCTAAATTTCTTCCTAAGGGGCCTGGGAACGTCACACCCACAAGTTAGAGCTATCAGTTTGGTGCAAAAGTAATTGCAGGTTTTTTTTTTTTTTTTTTTTGCTGTTACTTTCAGTGGCAAAACGTGCAATTTTGCACCAACCTAATAACATTGTTTTCTGCTGATCCCACATTTTTAGACAAAGCTTTGCCTCCTTAGCCAATCACAGATCAGAAATCTTTAAATCCACCTATAACCTGTGGGCCCCCAACTTCCAGTTGTCCTACGTTTTTAGGTCAAACCAACGTATAGTCTCCATATTTGAATTTATGACTTTACTTGTAACCTCTGCCTCCACGTTGGTAAAAACCCTCACCTATGAGCCATCTGGGAGTTGGGTCTTGAACATGGGATGCCTGATTTTCCTTGCTTGGGGCCCTACATAAACGCCTCACTTTCTCTTGCTACTATCCCAACATCAGTCTTTGACTTCGCTGCACCCAGTGAACAGATCCCTGCTGGATTCACTTACATCAGATTTCTCCTCCTGGAAATAGAAGAAATGTGCCTATTGATGTGTGGAGCATCTCGCATGGCACCTGGAATGTAGAAGGCATTTGGTAAACGTGGCTTCCTTCTATCAGTTTCTACCCAAAATGTGCAAAGCCAAGCTTTCCTTTTTGTGCTGTATACTGGCTCCTTCTTCCAAAAATGTATTTGATGATGTCATTCCTCAACCTAAAACCTCCTGACATCACCCCGCTGTCTACACCAGGGATGTTAAAATCCTCTCTCTGCATAGCCCCATCCCCATGACCATGTACTCACTCTATTACCCCAATTCTCTGGGTGAGGCAGGAGGAGAGGAGTGGGTGCATGTGCCCCTGGCAGAGGGAAAGGATTCTCGGAGGGGTGAGACAAGTAGTGTGAAAAGAGTCGACCTCCAGGAAGCTGCTCTGCAGCCCTCATTTCTCCTTTGAGAATCGCTGGTCCTCAGAACAAGTTCTAAATCCTTACCACCTGATCTGATACCACCTTCCCACTGACCAGTGCCCTACAGCCTCATGGGACCCTCACCAATCCCGCCTCTTTGCCTTTGCTGGTTTCTTTTCTCTGCTTTAAAGTCTTCTTCCATACCTTCTGCTTTACTTGGGGAAATCTGAAATAAATGTCAGCATGTTGGTGAAGCTTTTGCTTACTGCCTCAGGCAGAATTAATAGCTTCCTGGTCAGCTCTGACACATCTGGGCCCTGTTCCCTCCTCAGAGGTAGAGAATCTGCTAGAGGCTGAGAACCGTCTCCACCTTTAGACAGAATGCGTTTAGTGGTTACTGCCTGCATCCCAATGAAACCTGCTCTGCCCTTCTGCCATAGAAATGGAATTGAAGCCAGACCCATTGCTACCCACTGTCTGTGTTTCCCGTTGGTATGGTTTGGCTGTGTCTTCCCACCATTCTCATCTTGGATTGTAGTTCCCATAATCCCCACGTGTCATGAGAGGGACTCGGTGGGAGGTAATTGAATCATGGGGGCAGTTTTCCCCATGCTATTCTCATGATGGTAAGTTCTCATGAGATCTGATGGTTTTATAAGGGGCTTCCCCCATCACTCGATTCTCATTCTTCTCTCTCCTGCTGTCTTGTGAAGAAGGATGTATTTGTGTCCCCTTCTGCCATGATTATAAGTTTCCCAAGGCCTCCCCAGACCTGTGGAACTGCGAGTCAATTAAACCTCTTTCCCTTATAAATTGCCCAGTCTCAGGTATGTCCTTATAGCAGTGTGAGAACAGACTAACACACCCAGGCTTCCCTGAAGTGAGCTGTGGCCTTTGCACTAAGGGATGGGAGCAGGAATGATGGGTATCTGCTCGGGGTGGGAACATGAGGCATCAGGTGCATCTTCTTCAGGCTGTCCCTGATGTGCTGGTGATTGGTCCCACCAGGCAGGTGACAGTACCCCAGAGCAGTGGAACACTCTGAGATAATAGAAGTGTTTTGAGATCTGTGCTGTCCAACACGCGAGCCACTAGACACTTGAGCTATGGCTAGTGCAACTAGGAACTGAAATTTCAATTGTCTTTAAATGTATTTAAATTAATTAAAATTAAAATAGTCACATGTCACCAGCGGCAACTGTATCAGCCAGTAGAGCCCCTGAGGATGGAGGAGCAATGGTTTGGAAGGAACATGGATCTTAGAATGCCCAGTGGAGCAGAGATTCTCCACCTAAATGGATTACTTATCTCAGAACAGTTGAGTGAGAGAAAAACAAGGCAATGTTTTAGGACAGTTAGGAAGATAGTATCAATAGTATGACATAATGGGTATATCAGGGACTTGGGGCTCACCTTTTGAGTTCAAATCCTAGCCCTACCACTTAATAACTGTATGGCCTTGGGCAAATGACTTCATTTCCGTGTGCCCCAGAATTCTCCTCACTGCACTGGGGACACTGAGTCCACGTATCACCTGGGTTTGTTGTGAGAATCAAATGAAGTAATAAATGTAAAACACTTAGAATATGGCATCCCCATTTGTTAGCTACTGTGATGACATTTGAGGTCTCTGTTACAGCATCTTAGCTTTGCACGAATGCACCTGGCTTTGCATCACGGCTCCCACATCTACCACTCGGGTGCCATTTGTTTTCTCAGGTTCTTGGGGGTGATGCGAGTGAAGTACTGAGTGCTGTGTCTGGCCCCCATCAAGCACTCAATGTTGGTAGTCACCCTTATATAAAGTGTCATGTTGTCATATCAGTATCTGTTTGGATGTCTCCCTTGGAGGTGTCTCTAGGATAGGGACTGTCATTTCTCTTTTTGTTCTTCATTGATTAGCACAGTGAAGGTACTCGGTACATGGTTACTGAATGATTGGCTGATTGCATAAATAACTCTTCTAGTGTTAGTTTACCTGAAAACCCAATACTGTACCTATTGAGGCTTCTGAGGTGTCCCCTGGCCATCAAATCCCTATGGTACTCTAACAGCAGCATGGCCAAACAAAGGCATTCTGTCCCTGCTGCCCAGATCCTTCCTCACCCTTTACCTTTGCAACACTGAGCGGAACGGCTCTTCACGGGGATGGCCACTCACCCAGGCATCATTAGGAAAGGTGAGGGGGTGTTTTTCGGTGTCACAACACCTGGATAACTGTGTTCTCCAGCTTCCTCTTGCTGCTGTAGCAAATTACTGCAAATGCAGTGGCTTAAACAACACACACTCAGTCCATAAATTCTGAAGGTGAGAACTCTGAAGTGAGTGTCATGGGACTAAAATCAAGCTGTTTGCAAAGCTGCACTCCTTCTGGGGGCTGCGGGGAGAATTGGCTTCCTGCCTTTCCCAGCTTCTGGGAGCTGCTGCATTCCTTGGCTCCCGGCCCCTCCTCCATCCACAAAGCTAGAAATCCCATCACTCTAGCCTCTCCTTCTGTCCTCACATCTCTCTCTCTCTCTCTGACTTTGCCTCTCCTGCCTTCCCCTTGCTTTCTAAGGGTCCTTGGCATGTTGTGTTACATTGTGCCCACCTGCATAATCCAAAATAACCTCCTGATGTGGTTTGGCTATGGCCCTACCCAAATCTCATGTCAAATTTTAACCCCCATATGTTAAGGGAAGAACCTGGTATGAAGTGATTGGATCATGGGGGCAGATTTTCCCCTTGCTGGTCTCATTGATAGTGAGTGAGTGAGTTCTCACAAGATCTGATGGTTTAAAAGTGTGTAGCCCTTCCCCCTCCCTCTCTCTCTCCTGCCACCATGTGAAGATGGTCCTTGCATCCCCTTCACCTTCTACCATGAGTGTAAGTTTCCTAAGGCCTCCAAGTCATGCTTCGTGTCAAGCCTGCAGAACCATGAGCCCGTTAAACCTCTTTTCTTCACAAATTACCTAGTCTCAGGCAGTTCTTTACAGCGGTGTGAAGACAGACGACTACACCTCCTTATTGTAAAGTCGACTGATTACAACCTTAATCCCACTCAGTGCCTTAACTGTCCTGGCCATGGAACCCAACACACTCACAGGCTCTGAAGAGAAGGACATCTTTGCTGGCTGGTAGGGAGGGATTCTTCTGCCCACCAAAGTAACTCTGTGGGCACAGGGTAGGTTGGAGCCTGGGGACACCACACACCATGAGACACTCCTACACAACAGAGTGTACCCCTCAAATGCCAATAGTGCCCTCTTGAGAAATGCAGCTGGAGTCCCACTACTCTAAGCTGCTTTGTGTGTGGTGAGGAATAAAAGGACAGGGGAGCTTTGCTTTTCATCTCAAGTTTCCCTCTAAATCTGTAATTGCAGCCTCCAAAAAAGAAAGAGAAACCAACTTCTCTTGCTTCTTGTAAGAGGAAGAGAAAGAGAAATGAGAGAGACACCTGTGCAGGTACTCAGAGACCAGTGCAGCCCTTCTCCCATGCAGAGACCAGAAGCTCAGCTTACAATTACCAGCCTTCCTGCATGAGTGTGCAGGTAAGGAGGCCCCACCTGTCAGAAGCAGTCCTGCAGGACATTGACTTGAAATTGAGCCCAGTGGGGGAAAGGTGGGTGCCTGTGTCCTCCATACTGATGATGCAGACCAGAGTCGGGAGACAGAGCTTGAGAGTCACAGGTGGCTTCCACATGTTCACCCATGTCTGCTGCAGAGATCTAGGCTTCTCTAGCAAGGCATAAAAGGGGCTGCAGGTAACTAGAGCTGTGTCCAAGGTGTCCAGAGGTTTCCAAGCACTTAGTTCTTTGCACTCAGTTGCTCTCTGCGACTCCAGTTGTTAGACATTCATACTGAATGCTCAAAGATACAAGGTCCCCCCAGAAGACATCGACAGGATGGCACCTACTTCTGCACCTGTACCCACTGGCATCTGTAAGAAACACAGAATGGAGAATTGGAGAACTGGAGGCTATGATAAATGACATCAGTCAACCCCTCATTACACGTATGAGAAAATGGATGAAAAGTATACCCAGGAAAAAGAAAAACTGATAAGCCATGAAGAAACAAGAAGACTTTCAACAAAATTATTTGTATTTGTCACCTTTTGCTGTGACCACAAACAGCCTGAACATGTCAATGGCTTGCACCAAGATCTCTTCTGTCTTGTTTTGAGACATGAAGTGAAGACAGGGGCAGGGTCGGCTGGACCTGCTTGGTTTAGCTTGGGTTGGCGTAACTCATGTCTTCTCATCCAGAACCCAGGCTGGAAGGACAGCCACCTTCTGAAATGCACTGATTCTGTGGTGAGACAAGTGAGGAAGCCTAGGCCAGGCCCCAAGTTCACATGCAAAGGCTCTGCTCAGCCATGGCCAGTGTCTGGCCACTCACACTCTGATGGATGAACAGCCCATTTCACATGGTCCAGCACAAGCCTGTGTGGTGGGAGGATGCTTTTCCCAAGAGCTGAACCAGTGGGAAACGCAGCGCTAAGAGTCACCCAGCATCCTGCGCATGGAGGAGCAAGGGTTGGGAGCGATAACCCAATAGATTGCTCACTGCTGCAAGATCAGCCCGGGGATTCCATCCACCCCTTCCCCCGGACCCTCCACTCTGGTTAATTCCCCCTCAGCTGGAAGAACCCACCCCCAGTTCACCCGGGAGAGTCCCACGTGCCCTGGTCCTGCCCAGGTCTCATCCTGTGGAGCATTCAACCCAGATGGAAGCAGCCCCGGTTCTATAACACACAGTGCAGTCTTCCCGCCCTAAGACCCCTGCGGTGGCACACAGGAAGCGCAGATTCTGATGTCTGCTGGCACATGTTACACATAACACATAACACATAACATAGGTATGTCTGCCTCGTAGCTGATAGACTCTTCTGGTCAGCAGGGATGGGGGGTGGGCCATTTATGAGATCACATCCTATCTACAGAGGACATTCTTGCACAGCCCCGAGGCAGCACAAGGCAGGGGAGGCAGGGGGTACTGGAGCCTCTGTTTGTCACCTGCAGTGAGGACAGCTACGGCAGGAAGCTCAGCTTCTCCAATCCTCCATGTTCTCCTCTGAAAACTGGCTCGAGGCCACGTAGCAAGGTGCCCTGAGGATTGCAGATGAGCGGGGAGTGTGGATTCACACTCCTCCTGCTCAGTCCCAAATCCCAACAGGCCTCAAACCCTAGGGGTGTGGCCACTCGTTCTGCAGCAGGATATGATCTGGACTGAATAGAAGGCTAGTGATAATCTTCTTATATACAACTGAGCACGTGCATTTATACATTTCTCTTCAAAAATAATAATGCATTTGACGACAGGGTACCGACCCAGACTCATGTATACTATCCTTTTATGCACTATCATCTCAGTCAGAGTCCTCCAGAGAAACAGAGCCAACAGGAGATAGATAGAGAGAGAGAGGCTGATTTTAAGGAATTGGCTCACACAGTTGAGGGTACTGGCAAGTATACAATTTGCCAGCTGGAGACCCATGGAGGAGCTGAACCAGCAGGTCAGGTCTGAAGGCAGCATTCCCTCTTCCTTGTGGGAGGTCAGTCTTTTTCTCTGAAGGCTTCCCACTGGTGGGATGAGGCCCACCCGCATTATGGGGGCTAATCTGCTTTCCTCAAAGTCTCCTGACTTAAATGTTAACCTCATTTAAAATAAGATGCCCTCACAGGAATCCAGAATTGTTTGACCAGATACCTGGATATCATGGCCTAGCCAAGTTGACACGTAAAATTAACCATCACAACCATATGATAAATGAAACTAGACAGTCCGAATGCTGACGCAGATCTGGGGCCACCTCAAGGTTTGGGCAAGAACTGTGGGTCCCATCCAGCTGGAGCACAGTCTCTCGGGGGAGTCCTGTGAAGGGACAATTCACAGGACTTTTGTCTACCCCAGCAGAGAGCCTCTGCCAGGGTGACCGGGGTGAGTGTGGACTCATCCACAGCACAGAGTGGTCCCCGGCTGGTGCATGGATCCACATGAGAAATGAGAGGAGTTGGCTGGAGACGGGAGGGTGCAGGGGTTGGTGGGACAAGAGAGGAACAGAAGAGTCGCCTGTGATTTATGGTTCCAGCTCAAATGCCTGGTGGAGAGAGTGAGAGCAAAACATAACAGAAGATTCCAGAGGAGAAATCAAGGGAGTGATGTGAGGCTGAGGTCCTCATGGGACGTCTGGAGGCAGCTGAGTGTGTGGCCCTGTGCGTGGGGGCAAGGCTGTGATAGATGTAAAGAGAGGGGTTTAGGAGATTTCAGAATTACAGGCTGTCAATCTCCATATCGTCTCAGAGGTGGGATGGCTGAAAGAGAGCATGGAGTAAGACGTGAGGGCTGAGGGTGGGAGCCCGGGAAATCTGTAGAGCACCAAAGCAGGGTAGGACAGCCTCCAGCAGCGGGAGCAGGGAGGGCACCACGAGGGGCTGGAGAGAGGTAGGAGAACAGGGAGGCTGAGGGCTGAGAGAGAACGCAGTCATAGGCAGGAGTCGGGCACATCAGCAGCAGGCAAGCAGGTGGCAGGTCACAGGGCAGGCCACTGGGCTGGCCACTGGGCAGGTCACAGTGCTGGCCTCAGGGCAGGCACCGGGTAGGTCACAGTGCTGGCCTCAGGGCAGGTCACAGGGCTGGCCACTGGGCAGGTCACAGTGCTGGCCACAGGGCAGGTCACAGGACAGGTCACAGGGCAGGTCACAGGGCTGGCCACTGGGCAGGTCACAGTGCTGGCCACAGGGCAGGTCACAGGACAGGTCACAGGGCAGGCCACAGGGCTGGCCACTGGGCAGGTCACAGTGCTGGCCACAGGGCAGGCACCGGGCAGGTCACAGGGCTGGCCACTGGGCAGTTCACAGTGCTGGTCACGGGGCAGGCCGCAGGCCAGGTGACAGGGAAAGCCCCCGGGCAGGCCACAGGGCAGGTCACGCAGCAGGCCACCAGGCAAGTTACAGGGCAGCACGTGCTGACAAGGCCCATGTGAGGCACCTAGAAGAAGTAGAAACTACCGCCTTACAGGGACACATGGGGCAGGGACTGCTCTGCTATCATAGGGTGCCTGAGCAGTGAACAGGGCCTTAGGAAGATGCAGGTTCGGGGTCTTGAACAGTGTCTCTGCGGCTTGGGAGTATGCGTGTCATAGATGGCAACACCCTTATCTCCAGCAAGGCTGTTAAAAATGAAGCTAACACTCTATAGAGCTGGCATGGGCAGGTTCCCTTAAAATCACTTCGTGCATGTTACTCTTTAATCCTCCCAACAGCTACAGGGATTACTGCTGTCTCCACTTCTCAGATAAGGAGCAGGGGCACAGGGAGTCTGAGTAGTCTGCCCGAGGCCAGTGGAGACCCGTGCCAGGATTGAGCACGGCCATTGGCCCCGAGTCTAATTCCTAGGACACGCAGTGCTGCCGCCAGCGATAAGGCTCACTGAGATGCCACCAGCACATCCTCCCTCAGGTGTCCTGCTTCTCCTGGATGATCTCTGCTCCAAGTCCACTGGTAGCTCCCAGAAGATATATGTCCATTGTCCTGGGCCCTGGAACCTTTGGATATGATCATATCTTGCTGGGGGTGGGGAGGGTTTTGCAGCTGTAATTATGATTTGGAAATGAGGATATCATCTATGGTGGGTCCTAGATCCAGTGAAAAGAGTTCTTATAAAAGACAAGAAAAACACACACAGGGGAGAAGGCTGCATGAGGGTGAGGCAGAGACTGGAGTGGTGCGGCCACAAGCCAAGGAGTGCCTGCGGCCCCCAGGAGTTGGAAGAGGCAAGGAAGGAGCCTCCCCTAGAGCCCTGAGAAAGGGCCTCGATTTCAGACTGCTGGCCTCCAGAACGGCGAGAGAATACATTTCTGTAGTTTTAAGGCACCCAGTTAGCGGTGACTGGTTATGGCAGCTCTAGGAAACTAACAGGCTCTGATATGAAAACCACGTAGGATCTCCCAGAGCCTGCCCTGAGCTCATTCCCTGCTCACCTCAAGTCCCAAACATCACTGTTCCTGTTACCACAGCTGGGTCCTAGAAAGTGAGGTCCCCAGAGAGTGTTTGAAGATTCTACAAGCAATGGATTGTCGACCTGGAATGTACCTCGAGGAGTCTTGAGTGTGTGAGCATCTGATGTCATGCCAGCAGAATTCAGATTTTCATGAGCCTCAGTGAGGCGGGGTCTGACAGCAGCTTACCTGCCAGCAAGAATAAGAAGTTGGTGACTGAGTCCAAGATTTGCTCAGGTTCAATATATTTCAATTTTATTTTGTATAGTACAACTTTTTCTGCCATCGCTCAAACCCATTCTCACCACCTGAAATCATTCTTCATCGTACAGCAGAAGGAACCAGAAGCAAGTCGCCCTTCAACCAAGCCACTCGTCCAAGCCTTTCTGCTGCCGTCAGCTGCCTGCCCCCCACACTGGTACTCAAAAGGCGTCCAGAGCAATAACGTGGAGTGACAGCCTCCCCTCCCACCCATGACATTGCAGTTCCCCTAATGCCTTTTGAACATGCGGCACTAGTCAACTCCAGTTGTTAACAAGGGTTAGGTGCTGGCTCCTTTCAATACCATGCTTTTTTTCCCCAGATCTTGGAGAGAGGTGTCATAATTTATTAGCACAGCAGAGCCTTTGCATGTGACCCTGTGGCCTGGTCCAGGCTCTCTCACTTGTCTCACCACAGAATCAGTACATCCCAGAAGGTGGCTGTCCCTCCAGCCTGGGTTCTGGGTGAGAAGACATGAGTTACGCCAACCCGAGCCCAACTGAGCAGGTCCAGTTGAGCCACCGCCGGCCCCGTCCCTGTCTCCACTTCATGTCTCAAAAGCAAGACAGAAGAGATCTTGCTGCAAGCCATTGACATGTTCAGGCTGTTTGTGGTCACAGCAAAAGTTAACGAATACAAACAATTTTTTTGAAAGTCTTGTTTTTTCACGGCTTATCAGTTTTTCTTTTTCCTGGGTATACTTTTTATCCATTTCTCAGAAACCATCACAAAAAATAGGGTCATGGGCCTATGCTTGGTATCTGCTTTGCTGAATTGTATATATATATGTGTGTGTGTGTGTGTATATATATACATGTATATGTGTGTGTGCATATACACACATATACACACAAACACAGATATATATATATATATATATTCACAATAACGTCGTCCTCATCCCAGAGCTGTGTTTTCTTAATCTTCCCTCTTCTCATGCTGATCTCCAGGCTGTGGATCCCAGGGTAACACATTTCACAAGCATGCTCATCACAGAAATAATCCAGCTTTGTTTCTGAGTAAAGGTGTAAATAACACTTGTGTGACTATCGTGACTGTACCTTGACCCAAGAATTGCTTGGCCACGAAATTCTCAAAGGACTTTTACACTTAACACAGAAAGTCTTCTGATCAATCGTCTGTTCTAAGGTACATATTTTATCCCAGCTTCTGTAAGAATTACTGGCTTTTAGAATTCCATATTTTGCAAAAATTATATTAATTCTCATTTCTTAAGAGAGAGAATTAACATTTCCCAAAACTTGGCACTATTTATAGATGCTAAATTGGGGACTGGAATCTTTTTTTTTCTTTTTAGCTAACAGGTATTAAAGAACCATTCTATGGCAGGCATTGTTACATGTGTTACCATCATTAATTTTAGACATCCATTTTTCCTTTTGTTATTACTTGGTGCATTGGCCTCATTCTTCTATTCTCTTCTCTCTGTGATGGGTTCCTCTTCACAGGATGCCTCGGGGTGGAAACGGGATGACAGCCAGTGGTTTCTCCACACATGGACTTGCCAGAACCTTTCCCGAAATGCTAGGTTGGAAAACTCACAGCTGATTAATTACCGCAGTCCACGGCTTACTCCGTCGGGTGAGTCAGACACGACTCAGAAGAGTCCCCTCAGGTTGTGTCCTGTGGGAGCCTGCAGAAGCCTGACGTGCTTCTTCCCCAGCATATGTGTGTGTTTCTGAGTGTGTGTGTGCATGAATGTGTACGTGAGAGAGTGTGTGTGTGACTATGTGCATGTGTGTGAATCTGCATGTGTATGCATGTATGTTACCATGTGCCTGTATCTGTGAATATGTGTGTGTAGGGGGGTGGTGGGTAGATGGGGACTTTCAGAATGGAGACAGCCACAGCACTTGTGGGAGGAATCATCTTTGACTTTATTATTGAAATTTTTTCTTTATTCTTCAGTGAAGGTGAATGAACCTGACTTGTAGGTCCCCGGGGACATCTAGGAATCAAAGCAGGACGAAGGGCCTGTGTGTGTCCCTGGGAGAAACTCCAATGGGACCGGATCCTGACATCTGGGGCATTGAGGGCAACTTGCATCCTTGGGGTAGCAGCCAGGAAAGTGGGGAGTGTCAGGAGCATCAAGGGCATGGAATTCAGAGCCCAGAGCCAGGACCAGCACCACAGCACTTGTCCAGGCAGACCCCACATCCACCCCTTGTCCAGCCCAGGCCATCCAGGCAAAAGACCTATTGTTTGTTTGTTTTTCAGTTGTTGTGTACAGTTTTATAAATTTCCCTGATAACACAGTACAAGAATAAAAGCCTCCAGTAGTGCAGGAGGACTTATAAGAACAAGCATCCTCCACCCCAAGCTTCCCGGTCCCCCTTCTCTGAGGAGCCCTGTGAACTGTCCCCACTGTGACCTCTTCTGGTGGTCTCTGCCATCTCTCTAAGTAATGTGCTCCTGTGGGCATTACTTAACTTGTCGATTTAAGCATTGGCTATTGATGGCATGCTCTGAGATATTGAGAGTTCAACTTAATTATATTCTACCACTATACCCAATCAAGTACATCACTATTTTTTGTTTTCCTGTTGGTTCCTTTGTAATATGAAGGAATACACATTCATTTATTGTTCCATCAAGTATAACGCACATACTATGACCCTCAAATGTGTAAGATACTAGCCCCTACTCAATGACTCTTCAGTGCTTTATCTAAGAGGTTGCTATAAACCAACCAACAGGGCTTACCTTGCTAAGACTATGAGAATATACTTACCTACAACCAAATAGTGTGCTTGGATTACGTTTCTTTTACTGTACTGCTTGTTATTTTTCCTGAAGTTTCTAATCCCTTTTACTTTTTAAAAATTTGCCTTCTTCACATCCTTTTATTATTTTCTTCCACCTCTCCAGTGTCTGTTCTATTCAACCAAGTCCTTCTTCCCCCAAAAAACCCTTCTAGGAGTTCCCCAGGTGCCATGCCCAGCTCTGGCTGCTGTCCAGGTGACACCACCTCACCCTGGGAGACGCCTTCCTGCTGGGTGGGACCTGGCATATGGAATCCCTGTCTTCCTGTTTCTTGCTTTGCTTGCACACAAAGTTAAGTAAGTATCTGTCTGTGAAAGGATATTGATACATAAAATATTTGAATGCATACACACCTGAAAAGTTTTTATTCCTGCCTCCATGTTTTATTGATAGTTTGTCTGGGTAGAGAAATCTTGGTTCGATGCCATTTTCCTTCAGAATTTGGACAATGCCACACTGTAGACTTTTAGATCCACGGCGGAGAGCAAGAGATCTTATTTCAAGCTGATGCTGGTTTTCTGAAAGAGATTTCCTGCATGCTTGCTTTTCTGAAATCCGTCAGGAACACATCTGGGCCTACATTTCCTCATTCATAGCATTGAGAACTCAGTGGGATTTTTCAGTCTGAACACTTTCGTTCTTTAATTCTGGGAAATTCACAATGTCTTTGTATGTGATGCCTTCCACTCGATTTTCTTTTTATTGGCTATTAGTCTTGTATTGGACCTCCTACGTTGTTCCCTCAGGTCCTTTACTTTTTCACTTATATATTCAGTCTCTTTTGCTATTATTCTCTCCTCTGGGAGATTTCTCTATTTATATTCCAAACTTCATTGATTGTTTTTTAATTTCAGCAATTGCCTTTTATTTCAGCCATGCTTTGTTATTCTCTGATGGCTCCCTTTTCTTATAAAACCCTATTTTTGCTTAGCAGAAACAATATATCTTGAATCTCTGAGAATACAAAATAGTGGGGTTTATTTCTTATTTACCAAAAAAGTATTCTTTTGTTCCATGTTTAGCTGTGTTTGCTTTGGCACATTTCCTTTCCTGTTTATCTAGCTTGGTCTTTCTAGCTCCTAGTATCTGTTTTCCTTATCCATTGATTCTCACCCCTTCTCAGTTAAGTACAAAGCAGGGCAAAGCTGCCCAGGAGCTCAGTCTGTGTGGGTAGAGCTCATTAACTGGCCGGCTTCCCTTCCCTTCGCTTGGCTAGGAATGGTGGGAGGCGACCATTATGCTTCGGGGTCCCTAAATGCAAGAAGGTAGAGTGTGTTGCTTGGGAAACCAGTTTCCAGAACTACCTAAGTTATCCCCCGACATCTCATCGAATTCCTTAAGAAAATCATTCTACTTTAGGGAAAGAGGGTAGATGAGGGCATGGGGATTATTTGTGTTTGTTGTTGTTATTGTTGCTTGTATTAGAAAAAAATTCCTAGTAATATGATATTTTTCCTGGGAGCTGGAGGAGTGTTTAATCCTTAAAAACTATAGCATATGCTACAATCGTGTCAAAAACTCCTTACAGTAAGGCGCAAGGAAATTTAATCAGAGATTTCTGTGAAGCCAGCAAAACTAGCAGAATTCAAACCTAGACAAAAAAATGGTCTGACCTTCTTAGATCATGATAAAGCCTAAACTTTTACGACATCCCCGACGAGTACTAAAACCACAAGGCTTTTCTGCATGTAAAGACTGGAGCTGAAATGAAACAGAACTCTTCAATTACTGTGCATCAGAATGGGTTTGTGGTCTCTCCTGAAATGCACGCTCCTACTATTCATAGCTTCCTCTTACTTCAGTGTATCAGCCTTCCTCAAATTACATATGAAACTAGATAGCTTTACTTGCCGCAGTCTTAAAGGTGGAAAGTGCCTTAGTAGTCACCTGGTTTAAGTTCTAATTTTAGAGATGAGGAAACTGAAGCCCAAGGAATTTTTTTAAGTGAAATGTCAAAGTCACGCAAGCACAAGTGGGAGATAAAAGAAGGGAGATGGGATTGGAGTGAAAATACTGTGGTCTTGTCTTTGTGCTGCCATAACAAAATACCTGGGACTGGATAATTGATAAAGAACAGAAATGTATTTCTTATAGTTCTGGAGGCTGGGAGGGCCAAGAACCAGGTGCCGACAGCTCAGTATCTGGTGGAGGCTGTTCTCTGCCTCCAAGGTGGCACCCTTTTGCTGTGTCCTTCCATGGCCGAAAGGGGCAAAAGGGAAAGAAGGCTGAATCCTCATAGCAGAAGAAATGGAAGGGTAGCATGGCAAAAAGGCAGAGTCCTCATGACTTACTCACTTCCTACAAGGCCCTACCTCTCAACACTATCACAGCGGGTATTAGGTTCCAACATACACATTTTGGAGAGATGCAAACACTCAAACCATAACAGGCCTGTCCCTCGTTTTGCTGGTTTGAGTTGATGTATTCTAGCTGAAGTACTGGCTGGGATGTGTTTCTGGTGTGTTAATATATAGACATAAGTCCTGGTAGCAGAAATTTTGGGTGTTCTAAATCCCAACAGATCTTGCAGAATATCAAAATTACCTGAGAAATATAAGCTTAGCATTTCAGGTGGCCTTTTAAAGGACAAGGAAGACACCCCTGGACACATTTGCATAAATCCATTCCAACCATTATTGTCTGAATGGGCAGGTGAATTTTTGGAAGCCAAATGGTTCTTCAAGACTCCTTATGAAGCTGTCAGAGCTGATTTAGATGGCTCCTAAGAAGAGTCAGAGATTTGACGAATTGTAATGTGTTAGGAATTCTAAGAGGCCTTAGAGGTTAGCCACTCTGATGTCTTCATTTTACAGGTGAAGAACAAAATGCGTAAGTAACTCGAACAAATTTGCACAGTGAATAAATGACAGAGAACAGAACAGCCATCACTGGCTGGTTGACTGGGGCTTTCCCATCTGGGACTTTTCTACTCACTGTGCCACGTGACCCACAGGACACTGTTCCCCAGCCAGGCACATGGACCTCAGATCATGAGCATCCAGATGTGTGGTTAAATACCAGCTGACACATTCCCCAAGACTGTTCATTCCAGATACACACAGACCATTTTTCTTTTAAAAAATTGAATCACATATGGCTATATCTCTGTGTGACTACCGTGCTTATAAGGAAGACATAAGGCTGTATCCTAATTAATGATTTTTAAAATTATTCTGGTAATGATAAACTCTTCCAAGCATTTCCTGGGATCTTAAAGATGGGAATTTTCTCAAACCAGCTGCTGTGAGAAATTATTTTCATACCATTTCCTCAGAAATCTACTTTGGATTCCAAATCTTTATATCTGCTTAATACTTTAAAGAATGTATTTCTATTCCCTTATTAACTTTCCTTTATTTGACTTGCAGTGAAATTCAGTGAAGAAACAAAAGATGATGTGTCTAGAGTTTACCTGGGAAGCTTACCTCTTCTTTGGAGTGTTTTAATGGGACTATGTAGTATACATTTACATGGTGCATTTGTTCCACTAACAACTTTAAATTTTATTAATTTTAACTAGGCATGGTGGCCTCAGTAGTCCCAGCTACTCAGGAGGGAGACAGGAGGATTCTATGAGCTCAAGAGTCCGTGGCTGCAGTGAGCTATGATCACACCACTGCACTGCAGCCTGGGCAACGGAGCAAGACCCCTTCTCAAAAATAAAAAATAAAAAACTTATCAATTTTGAAATCAATGCACATCAGGATACAGAATCTCAATGAGAAATATTTGTTGGGTTTCTTTTTTTGAAATGGAGCCTCAATCTGTCGCCCAGACTGGAGTGTGCAGTGGTGTGATCTTGGCTCACTGCCACCTCCCTCCACCTCCTGGGTTCAAGTGATTCTCCTGCCTCAGCCTCCCGAGTAGCTGGGATTACAGGAGCCCCCGACCACACCTGGCTAATTTTGTATTTTTAGTAGAGATGAGGCTTCACCATGTTGGCCAGGCTGATCTCGAACTCCTGACCTCAAGTGATCCACCTACCTTGGCCTCCCAAAGTGCTGAGATTACAGGCGTGAACCACCAGGCCCAGCCTGAGAAATATTTGTTGACCAAATATTTCTCAATTCCACTTGGCACACACAAATAAAGTTCCCTTTTCAACCATCTGGCGCCTGCCATTCTCTCTGTTTTAATACAGGTGGTTTTGTAGCAGGACTGTACTAGTTGAATGTGATAACCGATCTTTTGGCTATTCCATCTGATTATTTCTGCCCAGCATTCTTAGCAAGTAACTTAATATTGGCAAAGTATTGGAAGAAAATTTCAAAATATAAGAAAAGGAGCCTTGAGAATAACAGGATCTATGGGGGGCGGGGATGTCAAATCCACGGATGTTACTTCCGAAGCCAGCAAGGCCTGCATCTCCCTGAGCAAACAGTGGGCATGCCCAGAACTGCCATCAGCCCCAACTCAAGTGCATGGTTCTCCCCTCGTTAGTGGCAGCCTTGGTGGGCCACTTTCCTCCTCTGGGCTTCTGGTCACTCACTTGCAAAATGGGGCTCTGTGACCAATGACCTGTAGGGTTTGTCCCAGTGCCAGAAGCCCATGTTTCTATGGCACAAGTGAAATAAAATTTTTCCATGGAATGTAGTTCAAAAAAAAGCCATTTGAAATGTCCCTTCTGGCTTTAGCAACAGTTTGTGTTTTTTGTTTGTTTGTTGTTGTTGTTGTTTGTTTGTTTGTTTTTTAACTGAAATCTGCACAGCTCTTTACCAATGTGCTGAATGCATTTCAGATTGTACAAAAGTTGAAAATGCTACATATCTCAGTGAGAAGCACATTAAAAATCTTTTAAAAGTGTTCATGTCAACTTCCATCTTTCATTTTCAGGGTCATATTTCATTGTGAATTGTGATGTTGACATTGAATTAGAAATACTGTTAAGTGCAAATATGCATGTACAGTTACATAATACAGGTGAATAATCTTGTTTAATTAAGTTTCATAAAATCTTGAACATGATCCATGGGCATTTGCATCAGCACTTTGAAAATTGATGGCATGACTTATTGTTGTGGCAGAAGCACTGGTGAGCAGGGATCTCTGTAATGAGCCTGATTCCTCCTTGACAGCTCCAATTTCATAGCATGGTCCATCTCAGGAGCCCTCAGAGTTGACCATGGGACAACTGGCTGCAGAAAGACACAGCTTGATCGCGTATTTTTGCTTGCACAGGCCATACCCTGTTCCTGCGGGGGGTGAGGTGCCCTAGAGGTCAAATAGCTGTGCCCCCCCACCCCCCCCACTCCTCAGCAAGGATACTCTCACAGAGGCATACCAGCTTCCGGGCTCCTGCCACCACACAATTCCAGTGGCTCCAGGAATGCCCATTCCACGCCAAAGGCTTCTCTGGAAAAACACAGGTTAAACCAAAGCCAGCTGTCATTTGGGTGGTGACCCGATTCAACATCACAACAAACAGGGCAGATCCAGGCAGGAGCTGCTGATGAGAAGAACAAAGACCTCAGGGAGCTGCGAGCCTTGTGCCAGCCTCCACGCCCTCTACCCCTTACAACACTTTCTGAACCCACATTGCTTTCAGCGTTCATAGGATTCTGTTTCAAAGAAGGTATGGGATCTGTACAGAAAAGAGCATTTACCTTAACATCAGCCCAGAAACCTTGGGAATGAGTCAGTCATCATAGGGCAGAGGGATGTGTGTCTCCAGGTGAAGAAATGAACAAAATGCATAGCACAGCCTAGCCTGACCATTCTGCCCACTCCAAGAACAAAGCAATAATGGTGGGGGAAGTGGGGAGCAGCCACACTCTGCCTCTAATAAAATGGGGAGAGGAAGTAATTAACAGATCCTGGGGATGAAATAAATAAGCCCCTCAGACACTGTAACTTCAGCTATTTGGCAGATCTTATCCAGAAGTTTTTCTGCTCTCTCATCAGGGTGGCTTCTTTGAGGATTTCCCACGATTATGTCTGAAATGCATTCCCCTCAATATTCCAATTCCAGAGCAGTCTGACTTGACAACAACAAACAAATCAGACCAGACAAGCAGTATTGATCCAGCAGGCGTGAATTCGGAGCCACCACGTTGCTTTCTTTGTGATTACAATACGATAATGGAATACCCACGGTGTCGCCAGCCCTGAGCAGCAACAAGGCACAAATCCTGCCTCGTGTCATCTGAACATCACAAACTTGCAACAAAAAGAAACGATGGCTCAGTCCTGTGCTGACCCTGCAAATGCAATTCGAGTCTCCTTCCCTCTTCTCCTTCCAGAGATTATAGGCACAGATCTGGCCATGGGGGTGAAAAGTGCTTCTCCTCTTCTGAAGAGATTCAACAATAAATAAATATCACAAGTAAAAGCTACTGCATTAAAATATTTTAAATGAGAGAAACAAAATCCTAGGCACCCTGGACAGAGCTCAATTAATGACTTATAGACTCCAGTCCATTTTTGGTAACACTGTTGATCTTCCCATGTGAAAACCTAACAGGAAGAAAATGCATCTAAAAAAGCTGGGCTTTTTACGAGATTGTTCCCAGTACAGGTACCTGGAACAATTGATAAAAGACCTAAGGTGGATTTGCTTTGCTTTGAACCCTCACCCTCCTACGGAAGACCTAGATAGCCCTTCGAAAGGCATAAGTGCTCTGTAAAAGTACTCAAGAGTAAAGGCATAATAAACCGTGGCTGCAAGCAGGCATTTGAAAGTGACAACCGAGACCTAAGGGGGAGTTTAACAATATGTTTGTGACAGATAAGTTTGAATATGCAGGATTGGAAAGATAACATTTCTCAACTGCTTCTTTAATTATAGCCTTGAAGAGGA
This sequence comes from Homo sapiens, assembly GCF_000001405.40. Classification (NCBI taxonomy): domain Eukaryota; kingdom Metazoa; phylum Chordata; class Mammalia; order Primates; family Hominidae; genus Homo; species Homo sapiens. The sequence continues at coordinate 110,341 of NW_025791776.1, forward strand.
GGTTGTCACTTCTACCTTCATTCAGGAAACTGTCTTGTGATGTCTCCATTAATTATGACTGTCTATGTATTGCCAGGGAGCTTTCCCATTCCCTGACACCACCAAGGCCTGGCAGCAGGTCTCGGGCTGGGGCAGAGCCTCGTTTCCTGGTTAGTGGTCAGTGCAGCTCTCCAAAACAGGACTGAGGTCAGCAGATCATCTGATCAGGCTCACGTAGCTCCACCTCTTGCCTTTGGTTAGGTGCCCCATCATCTGGGGTACCACGGCCACTCCTGTAGCACTGGCCATCCAGACACCAGACACTAACATCTGTCATGTCATCACTGAACAAGAGCTCTCTGCCTTACTGATGTTTTCGTTATCTGTTGGCAAAAAAATAAATTCAGGGGACATGTGGACCCACCTCTCAAAAAAAAGCCAAATAATGTATGTGAACTTTCCCCTCCATCCGTGGAGCTTAACACCGCCCCTGCCCCATTGAGTGTGGGCTCCACTTAGTGACTCACTTCCAAAGAGCAGAGCAAAGGGAAAGTAGTAACATGACAGCGGAGGAAGCTGGCAGACACCACCCAAACCCAAAAGGTCAGGGTTATCATCCCCAGTGATGTCATGTCCATGACATGATGCAATACAAAGGAATCTTCACCTTCGTGGTATTTTTTCCAAAAATTACCCAGAAACCCAGTGTAAACAGGAGGAAAACAACAGAGAAGCAAAATGAAAGGACATTTTACAAAATGCCTTGCCAGCACTCCTCAAAAGTGTCAAGGTCAGGAAAAACAACGAGGAAGGGCTGAGAAACTGTCACAGACCACAGGAGACTAAAGAGGCATGACCAATGCTGTGGTCTGAATGTGTCCTCTCCGAAATTCAGGTGTTGAAACTTCATGGCCAATGTGATAGTATCAAGAGGTGAGGCCTTTAAGGGTTGATTAGGCCATGAGGGTTTCTCCCTTGTCAATAGGATTAAGGCCCCCATAAAGAGGCTTCGTGCAGCATTTGGCTAGCTTGCTCTTCTGCTGTTTTGCCACAGGTGGACACAGCGTCCCTCCCCTCTGGAGGATGCAGCAACAAAATGCCTCCTTGGAAGCTGAGAGCAGCCCTCACTGGACAACAGAACCTGCTGGCGCTGTGATCTTGGACTTCCCAACCTCCAGAACAGTGAGAGATACATTTCTGTTATTTATAAGCTACCCAGTCTTAGATATTCTGTTACAGCAGCACAAACAAACTAAGATTAAGCAGTGTGGGATCCTGGATGAGAAAGAGGACATAAGTAGAAAAATGAGTGAAATCCAAATGAAGTCTAGTGTTTGGATCATAGGAATGCACGAACCTTCATCTCTTAGCTGTAGCAAAAGCACGATGGTCACGTTAGATGGGAGCATGAGAGGAAGCTAGGTGAAGGATACGCGGGAATGTAGCTAGATTTAGGAGTAGGTAACTGAGGTGCTGGAGTGTGAATTTAGGAATGTGCTCACTTTTGGAACCATCCCTGTGTGACCCTGTGCTATCTTTGCAAATTCTCTACAAATCTAAAATTATTCCGAAACAAAAAGTTTATTAAAGAATAAGGCGCTGGCTAGAACCTTGCAATATCTCCTTTAGGGTACAAAACAGCTACATGCTCAGCAAGAGAAAGGGAGAATCTGACACACAATGTCCAGGAGGGTCTAGCCCACTTCAGGCCTGGGAGAGAAGGGTCGTCCTGTTGTACCTGCCATCCAGGTGCACATGGGCCTATGGGATAAATGTGCAATACAGGAGATACTGGCATTAGATGGTCCCAGCAACCAAATCTTGGGCATGATAGTCATGCAGGAGCTCCCCCGGTAAAGTATCCATATTTACAATACCTAAAGGGATTCTTTAACTTGAGGCTTTATAAACCCAACCAAAGTTAAGTTGAGGATGGTTGGCCCACAGGCCACTGATGTATTAATGGACTCTATGTACTGCTCACAGGCACCATGGATAATATACTATGGGTTCTGATAAGAATTGTCATTTTCTTTTCCCTCAAGGACTGACTGTAGTCATAAAGCAGGATGGACAGCATCCAGCTGGGTCTTGAGTGGTGGCCCATACCGATGTGGACTCCCATGATCTGGACTGGCTGGGAGGATGCTACTGCCTGGTGGCCCCACGCCTGTTGGCCATGGGAGTTTTGGCCTTCACGTGTTAACTGAAATAATGAACACCATGGTGCTCCAGGTCTCTCGCTCCCATCCAGGCATTCTCCACCTGATATCTCTCTGGAGGGTGGATGCTTTTGTCAGCTGTGTCCTCAATAAACTGCAACCAGGCATGGGGCAATGTGGAGGGAGGGAAGAGATTTAAATTCATTTTCTGGGGGGAAGAGTCACCTCCTACTGGAATCAAGAGCTAAAAAGAGTTCTCCCATGTGTGCAGTGCCACGTAACTTCCGGTGTAATGCCACGAAACACCCACACGTGGAAAACACAGTTGCCAGTTCTTCCTCCTCCACCGTGCAGCTCCGGGGAGCTGTGGGGAGCCAGCCCCCTCCAGAATTATCTGATGCCAGCGTTGGCGTGGACATAATAATGAACAAATAAGCATTTTTTTAAATTGACAAGGTGAAAAAGAAGGTTTAGGATTAAGGAATCTTGCCTGAGGATTAGTCGAATGTCAGTGAGGAGAAATAACACTGAATAGACCCAAAATATGTTTTCAGGAAACCTCGAAAATGCTTTCTGCATAATATTATATCTCCCTCTGCTAGAACTGCCAATTTTGAGTTTCTCACTATTTTTATTTTCTTGAGAAATGATCATTTTTATAAATAGCCTTTTAAATGTCAAACTAACTGGTTGAATAATTTATCTCTACTTCTTATCCTGAATAACTCAACCCTTGCTTGATTTTCTAAAGGGTTGGGGGAAAGGGGTTCTCAGACATAAGCGCCCAGAATAAATCCTTCTGTCTGTTAGAGGCTTTGGCTGTCTCCTTTCCCGCGGGTGGTGTGGGCTCCCTGTGGCTGGAAGGCGGCTGTCCTTCCGACGGCTTGCTTCCGCTTGGCTCTGCTCGCTCTTCAGTCACAGCCACAGCAGGGTCCATGAAGGCAGATGACAGACGGGAACCCCCAAGAGGCACCTAACCAGGGATCACGTGTGCTTTCCATGAAGCCACAGGAGGACCATGACTCACTCCTCAGAGCAGCAACCCAGGGCTGCGGCATGATGGGCCTGGTCGGCGCTGGGTGCCTCGTTCGGTGCCGGCAGGAACCAGCACGCACTCAGGCTGATGAGACCAGGAGGGTCAGCTGGACCCTGACCATGGTTCTCAAAGGGTGTGCCAGGACCTGCAACAGAAGCACCACTTGGGAACTTGTCAGAAATGCAAATTCTTGCCCCTCCTCTAGGCCCGCTGAATCCTAAACTCTGGAGGTGGGGCCAAGCCATCTGTGAATGAACTCCCGCTCCGGGTCGCACCGACCCACCCTCACGTGTGAGAACCCCGGTCTAGGACCCTGGTTCTCCAACTCGCCTGTATATGTTTTCAAAATGCTTGACCTCTCACTGGGAATTTTTTAAAAAATAAATTTTAAAAATGCTAACAAGTCGATCGCCACAGATTGTGATTCCGTTTCTGTGAGGTGTGGTGTGGACATCGGGCTTTTCGGAATGCCCCAGGGATTCTGATGGGCGGTAAAGTTCGAGAACTCCTGGCCCACAGCAATCCCAAAGCTCTGAGCCTGGGCTCCTCCCGAACCTGGCGCTGCGCTGTCTTCCAGGCCCTGAAATCCCTTTCTCTCTGAGGGTAGTTCTAGCACAGGGTTCACTGCTCTGACGGCGCCTGAAAATAAACCCGGGAGATTTCTAAAGGTTCTCATTTAATTGTTTTAGATTGTTTGCATTATCAGTTCTTAGTTAATCCTGATGTGCAGCCTTAGGTGAGAATCAGAGACTAACTCTCACCCCCATTCTCTTCTGGGTAGAATTTTTCCTCTCCGAACAACATCTGAAATTATCTCCAAAATCAGATGGCAGGGGTGGGTGGGGGATGGGGGGGGGACTCCTCCCAAAATGCCCCAGGGCTAAAAGTGCCTCCTCTTAGTAGCAGTTTTAAATACTTTGGGCCCTAGTTGTTCCCAGACCACCTCTCCTGATTGACGTTTCCAATGACCTGCGGGTTTCTGCACTTGTTCTAGGTCCTTGAGTCACAGCAAACCAGAGATCTCTGCGAGAAACGCTTCCACCACATCATCCTCCCCACCTCCTGGGCCAAGCCCTTGTGCTCACGGCACCTTTACTTCTCTACAGCAAAGCAGAAAAGATTTCACTTTTCTCCCTTAATGCTCTCTGGGGCTCTCTGTTTGTATTCAAAGGGGTATCCCTAATTAGAGAAATTTTATGAAATTCCTTAAAATAAATAATCCCAAATTGCATTTTATCATAGCCAGTTTCACTGTAACTCAAGTGTCCTGGTGGATGTAAATCACATAGAGAAAATCAAGACCTTCATTTCTAAAACAAGCATACAAATTCTTCTCTAAAACATCTCAGCTCAGCTCTGACTTCCTCCAGAAAGCCCTCCCTGGTTTCCCTCAAGATAAGACTCATTGTGAAAGGCCTCCTAGCTCAGTAGACCTCTCCTCCTCATCATGGACAGAGTCCGAAGCCACTGATTTGTGAGGTGTAATTCCTCTCTGTCCTGTGAAGGCAGGGCCAGGCTGTGTGGTCCCTCTTGTATCCCCAAGGCTTGGCTCAGTGGCCGGCACAGTTGTCAAATAAACGCAAGCCTGTTCCTCCTCCTCCAAAGAGTAGGAATCCTTTCCCCCATCTTGGCAGCTTTCTCAGGAAAGGCAGAATGGGCTGCTCATGAAATCAAAAGCCTCCTTGAGAAATGTAACATTCCACATGGAAGTTTAAAGCCAGAAGCAGAAGGAATGCAGTCAGTGCCGGAGGGTGGCTGGCTGCACACGGCTGTGGGGCTGTTTGGTTTGAGTTTGCTAGGTTTGGGGATGCTTTTGCTCAAGACAGTTAAGCACAAAGGAGGGAACATTGTAGGGGTTGGGTCCTGCAGTTGGGTCCACCAAAGAGAGGCTGGGCTGGGTATAGACGGAGCTGTCAAGCCTCTCCTGCCCCTCCTGAGGACACCCGCTCAGAGCCGCTCCTCACTTCTGCAGAGAGTGCAGTGTTGAGCTTTTGATTTTTCTCTGAGTCCCTATGTTAGAATGCAGGATGGAACGTCAGATCAGGTTCACTCCTCTCCTTTCTGTCTGTCGGGTGCTCTCTGTATCAGATCATTAAGTCCAAACATGAACTGATAAAAACTGACAATCATTAAGTCCAAACATGAACTGATAAAAACTCTTAAGATAAACAAGATTAATCCATTTTCAGTGACAATTTTATTTTTATTTTTTAACTGTTTTTGGTGAGTTTCTATTTTGATATAATCTCTAGATTACAAGAATAGTGCAAGAATAGAATGAGAAACTTCAGTATATCTTTTACTCATATATACAGTTACTTACATTTTTCCCTATGTGCTTTATTATTCTCTCTGTTTATATATATATTATTATCATTTGAATCATTTGAGAGTTAGCTAGAAATATCATATCCCTTTATCACTCAATACTTCTCTATATATATTTCCCAAAAGCAAAGACTTCCCTTTTATAACCACACTTTAGTATCAAAATTTAACATTGACACCATTTATTTAATTCATAATTCATATTCAAATGGTATTCATTGTACCAATGATGTCCTTAAAGCAATATTAGGACCATAAGCATCACAATCAACTATTTTATTATTATTTTAAATGAAGTTACTTTTTTTTTTTTGAGACAGAATCTCACTCTCTCATCCAGGCTAGAGTGCAGTGGCACAATCTCAGCTCACTGCCACCTCCACCTCCCTTATTGAAGCAATTCCCCTGCCTCAGCCTCCTGAGTAGCTAGATTACAGGTGCACAGCACCATGCTCGGCAAATTCTTTTTCTTTTCTTTTTTTTTTTTTTTTTTTTTTTTTGTATTTTTAGTAGAGACAGGGTTTCACCATGTTGGCCGGACTGGCCTTGAACGCCTGACCTCAGGCAATCCGCCCATCTCCGCCTCCCAAACTGCTGGGATTACATGCGTGAGCCACCGCGCCCAGCCTAAATGAAGATTCTTAAAGCCCCATCTTAGAAAACAAAATCAGTGATCATTTAAAAGGTAGAGTCAGAGTTTGCATAAAAAAGTAAACAATTTTTCGATCTGCCCCCAACCCCACCAAGTGTTTCCCAGCTGCAGCCAGGATAAAGGAAAGATCCGCAATTGTCACCCTTTTTTGTTTTTGTTTTTATTTATTTATTTATTTTTGTCTCTTGACATGCTAGAAAGATGAGGAATTGGGAAAGGGCAAAAAGCCAAACTAGCAGCAAACTGATTTTTTTTTGAAATCCTAGAACTAAAAAATCAATCCTTGAGCAACCAAAAATACATTATAAAATAAAACCTCCAGAGTCGTTTTCCAGCATGGGGAGAGTTTCACAGGTAATTTAGGGAACGTTGTGTGTGGGTGTATATGTACATCATAGCAGAACCTTTTCATTCCATGACCATTTACAGGCTCTCCCTACGGGCATTATCTACTATACATCTCAAAACAGTGGTGAATGAATATTAGTCCTCCCCTAAGGCTCAGTGAAATGAAGAAATATGGTCAAGTCCATGCAGCTCTGAGAGCTGTCACTGGGATGTAAACCAAAACCTCTGTCTCTGAATCCAGAACTCTGTTAACCACCTGCAGCCCCCAGGACCCGGACTAAGCCTGGAGCTGGCTGTGGGGTGTTATACTCATTTCTAAGGCTGTCTTAGCACATTACAAAACTGGAGGCTTAAAAAGAACAGAAATTTATTCCCTCGCTGTTCAAGAGACCAGTAGTCTGAAATCAAGGTGCCAGCAGGGAGCTCTTGGAGAGAATCTTTCCTGTCCTCTTCCTGCTGTTGGCTCCAGGCATTCCTTGGCTTGTGGCTGCATTGCTCCAATCTCCGCCTCTCTCTTCACCTGGCCTTCCCCTCTGCATCTCTGCATCTTCTTCCATCATAAAGACAGTCTCATTGGATTTAAGGCCCACCCTAATCCAGTGTTTTATCTTGACTTTGACCTTGACCTTAATTACATCTGCAAAAACCCTATTTCTGAATAAGCTCATGTGCTGAGGTTCTGGGTGGGCATGAATTTGGGGGAGACACTATCCAATCCACTACCATCGCATCTACAGAATACCTCCACGGCAACACCTACATCAGTGTTTGGTTGAATAACAGTACAGTAGCCTAGCCAAAGAGACACATCAAACTAACCATCCTGGGGGCAACAAAGCTACAGGATAGTGGTATTCATGCTTGGCCATGATCTCCATCTTTTAAGTTAATAATGTTGTGCTTTCTTCATGGTCTCCAGATGCACGGTCACCAATGGAAGACACGCAACCAATTCTTGGGGAAAGCGTTTGAATCAGAACACCAAGGGAACAGTGCATCTCCTTGCATCCTAAATTCCGCAAGTCAAGATGGAGATTAGGGCTGACTCCACCTGGCAGAGCTAAGGACACTTTGAAGCACACACCAAATTCTTCTGGTGAGGCTTCATTGTGAGGTAGGCTGGGGGTGTGGATCTAACCCAAGCAAGACAGCCTGCACCCTCACCTGCTCCTTGCTGAGTCCTGGAGAGCTGGGGGACTCCAGGTGTCGTGGCCATCGTCCCCGTACCTTGCCCAGGTGGGTGGACACAGAGAGAGATGCATTGAAGTATTCTGGAAAGCAATGATAAAAAGATGGGGAAGTGTCTTTTGAGCTCCCTTAACACACAGCCAACTGCACTGTCTTGTCCCAGCGGCCAGTGCACAGAGAGAAGTCTCCATGCTGTTCTGTTCCTCCATACAGAAACATTTCAATAAACAACCTTCAATGCAGCGTCTCCTGCTTAACGTGAAGTGTCTTGTCAGCCAACCCAGCACAGCGTGGCTCTATCCTAGGGAGTGGCTTTAAGCCTTTCATGCAATTCATACCCCCAGTCCAAGTTAGGCAGCCCCATCTTTTTAAATCCCCTGTCTTGCACATGAAAACGCAGGCATTGAGACACGTCCAGTGGTTTCCTGAGATCCTGGGAAGAGAGCGTGAGGGCATGGAGCTGACCTGGCTGCCACTCTCCCTCCAGTGGGGCCTTTGCTGTGAAGCCAGTCACACCTGGTGACCTGCATGAGATGCCTCTGCCAAATACCTCCCTGAAAGCCTCACCTCTGGAACTCGCTGCATCCCATGGCTCTGAAGCAAGAGAACAAGTGCCCTGTACCCCTCCCTCCACCTTCTCTAGGTGAAAAGATGTTTTTTTTCTGGAAAAAAAACCCACAAAAACAAAACAAGCAAACAAACAAAAAAACATGGGACTAAAGACAGAAGACCTAGGTCTATTCCTCACTTGCGTCAAGACCACCCTTGACCTTGGGGAAAAGAGGGAATACCCTGGGCCAAATTTTTATCCTAAGGAAGATAGGAATCTCAACGTGAACAATGGATGTCAGAACCAGTGTCCAAACCAGACATTGAGAATAACAGGGCAGTCCTCAAACGCACTTTAGGAAGACATTGACTTCCACTGGCTTGCTTTAAGGGTGCTTTCTCCTCTCTTCCTACACTCTCTAATTCTAGGGAGGGAGAGCTATGGTCTTATGTTGAAGCTCACAGCTGCCAGAGTGACATGGAGCCAGTTATTCCATCATTCTAGGCCTTAGTTTCTAATGTTGAAGCTCACAGCTGCCAGAGTGACATGGGGCCAGTTATTCCATCATTCTAGGCCTTAGTTTCTATGGACAAAAATGCAGCTTGAGTGAGAGAATCCATGTAGACCCTTAGCAAGGGATCTGGCTTACAATGTTAGCGATGACCTCGGTGGGTACAGGATGTCACAGAGGGCTGCAGAGGCCCCAGTTCACCCAAAACACACAGGCAGGCAGTTTCTTTTGTTCAAACATCAGAGGCAAGACACTGTCCAAAGGTGCAGGAATGACTCCTCAGGGGACAGGCAGGGGAAGGGATGTTTGCTGCTTGCAGATGTGGTGAGGTTTTAGTATATTTAACAAATATCTTACTTTGGCAATTACAAATAACTGTAAAAGCACAAATGAAGCTCCTTGGCTTCCACTTGATGATAAAGTCACTCTGGGAAGGAAGAAGGAAGAAAAGGAGCTGCTAACCCAGACCTCGTTCAAAGGGATGAGAATCCGAGTGGAGGAAGGGCATCACTACAACGTGGGACTGTGCTGGCCTGGGAGACTAGGCAGGGCAGCATCAGGGTGCCCAGAAGGCATGGCCCTTCCCAGGGACCACAGGAAGGAACCTGTCCATGGAGACCATCTCTAAAAGGGACATTGGATCAAGAAGGGAGGGAAATTTCTCAAAAATACAGTTCTGACCAGAGAGCCCTTTTGGAAGGTCCTGTGAGGATGCAGGAGGTGCATTCCTGTGTTACCAAGAGCCAGGGGCCCCAACCCTGGTACTGGTCCATGGCCTGTTAGGAACTGAGACCAGGTCGTACAGCAAGAGGTGAGCAGCAGGCGAGTGAGCATCACCGCCTGAGCTCTTCCTCCTGTCAGACCAGTGTTGGCATTAAGGTGAGCAGCGGGCGAGTGAGTATTACCGCCTGAGCTCCACCTCCTGTCAGACCAGTGTTGGCATTAAGGTGAGCAGCGGGCGAGTGAGCATTACCGCCTGAGCTCTGCCTCCTGTCAGACCAGTGGTGGCATTAGATTCTCATAGGAGCAGGAAGCCTATTGTGAACTGCGCATGCCAGGGATCTAGGTTGCCAGCTCCTAATGAGAATCTAATGCCTGATGATCTGGGGTGGAACAGTTTCATCCCAAAACCATTTCCCCCACCACCCTGTACAAGGAAAAATTGTCTTCCACAAGACTGGTCCCTCGTGCCAAAGAGGCTGGGGACCGCACACTGCTGACGATGAACTGAGGAGGCACTCTGGTGTATTGCCGGCCACGAGAGAGACTGCAGTGCTGTAGGGTCGCGTGCCCCCATGGTGGGGGTGTGCATGGACAGTGGGGACCTGGAAGGGGGAGCTGAAGCCTGAAGACCTGGACAGGCCCCGGGTTTTAAGAGTGGAAGAAAATGGAATGCCCTTGACCCCACCACCCGTTTTACAGGAAGAGAAATGAAGGGGACCCTGGACACCAGAAACCACGGGATATTTTAAGATTCATGAAGGGCCCCAATCATCTCTTTGGATATCTTGGAGGGCAAGAGGAAAAGCAGGTGTCAGATGATAAAACAATGAGTGGCATCCATGCTGGCAGCCTGAGAAGGCCTGGGTCAGCTGTGGCCCTGGTCGCCCACCCAGCCTCATGCCCCTCATACCTGTGGCACCCCTGTTCACTAATAATCTGCAATGAGTTTCCAACATTGCTTACTTCCAAGGCCATGTGGGCTAATTTTAATGATCAGCTAATTTAAACACCCTCCAAATCAACTTTCCTGGAAGCGCTAAGATCAGCTAGGGAGCCCTAAACAAGATGATGCCACCAGTGGGGACAAGGAGTGCTAGAAAGGAAAGACCATGCTTAAAGAGGATAGGGGTCCATTTCTCCCCATTCCCTGTGATCAATTACATATTACGAGTATTTCTGGACAGGATTATAATCTTAGCATTCACTTCAGCTTTATCAATAACTATGTATTTGATTTCATCATACAAAACTGGGGAAACAAACAAGACAATTGACTTGGAAAAGTGGAATTGTCCAGAGATAAAAATCCACACTGATTTTCTACTACTCCGGCATCAGGCATGGTGCATTAGCTGCTATGACTTCACTCCACATTTGACCTTGACTAATCCTTGCATAATCCTTTACCCCCTTCCCATAGCCCAGGATTCTCTGCTGGGGCAATTTTGCACCCCCCTTCCCACAAGGGTCACTTGGCAGTGTCTAGAGACACTTTGCTTGTCACAGCAGGGGTGCTGTAAACACCCTGCAATGCACAGGCCAGGGACCCCACCCCACCCCACCCCACCATCAATAGTGCCGAGGCTGAAAAATCTGCTCTAATCCCCAAAGATTCAGGCTATAAGTTGTTACAATGTTTTTAAACTCAAGTCATTCATCTAATCCAATCATTACTAACTTACATTTCTAAATGATTATATCATAAATACCAAAGCGGGCCATTTAAAACAAAGTCCACAGAAGCAACTAGACTGTTAAGGAAGGAAGTCACCATTAACTTTCCAGTCAGCATTCATTAAAAGTGAATGATGAATCTTATCACGTCATAGTGTAAATAAAAAATTATGTACTAAATAAGATGAGTGTTCTTTTTGACCCTGACTTGTCACCTTGGCATATTCTCTGACGTGTCTCACATTAACCACTGGCAAGAGCCCAGAAAATATTCGCCCTGTAAATACAATGTCAACGGAAGGAGAGGCGTGTAATTACACCAGGCAGGAGCCCGAGCTTACCAAATTACATGTTTTCCCAGCTTCACATTTTACAATTTAATAATATCTCCTATAATTATACATTGTTACAGCATGATGTCAGAGATGCACTCGAGCTCTTCTCTCTGGTGGGGGTTTTTCAGTGGCTATGCTGCACCCAAATGCTTTCCCAATCTTCAAGATGTTCTGGTCTTTTTATAGACCTAACTAATAAAAATAGAGAAAGAAATTGCAAGGCGGCTGCTAAAAAGGGCACCTTTATGTTGAATGTTTGTGCTTTCACTGGTGTTTGGCGGCTGTGGCATTTACGGGAGCTGATGCAGATCTTGTACTGAGTACGGTTAGACCCGATGGTGCAAACAGCCCCCAACTTTTACGGCATCCACTGAATTTGTGCCCCCAATCTCCTGCGTTGGTGATGCTTCAACCCTTGTGTATTAATGTCCTGGCACACGCGGCAAAGTATCATGGACTGGGAGCTTAAACAACAGACATTTATTGCTCACAGTTTGGAGAGTCCACACATCCAAGATCAAGGTGTTGGCACGGCCATGCTCCCTCTGAAGATGCCAGAAAAGGCTCTGTTCATGTCCTCCCTCCTTGGCTTGTAGTTGGCCATCTTCCCCCTGTGTCCCACCCACTCCACTGCACGCCTTCCTTCTATGCATGGCTGTCTCTGTGTCCACACATTCCTTTTACAAGGACACAGCTCAGATCGGGTTAGGGACCACTCTAATGACTTGCTTTAACTTTAATTACCTCTGTAAGGACCCTATCTCCAAATAAAGTCACACTCTGAAGTACGGGAGGTCAGGGCTTCAACATATCTTTTTGGGGGGACCACAGTTCCATCCATAACACGCTGCATTCATGGGTTTGATCCTTGATCAGTGCTCTGTGCAGAGACACACTTGCTGAGAACCCACCAAGTCCCAGGCATCACACCAAGTTCTTTGTACACACTATCAGGCACAACCCACCACAAGCCCAAGGCAGAGGTTAAATGTACTTGCATTTGTCCTAAAAGAATTTGACCTGTTCACACAGCTAGGACTTATAGAATCAGGATTAAAAACTGGGTCTGACCAATTCTAAAGCTCATACACTTACCAGCCCAACCCGCCACTTCCTACTGCTTCTCTTCATCCTTGTAATTAAAGTAAATCAGTCTTAATTTAGCTCTTATGGCATCTAAGAGCCCCTACAGCTCCTCTAGAGAAAACCAGAAACCCCTTGTGTGTCACAAATGTGTCACTGGAAAACTTGCTTCTACGATTTTACATTTTTAAATTAGAGGACAAGTATAGCCCTTCAGCTTTATGGTTATTTTTCTAAGTATGGTGATTATGGTGTTGGAGCCTTTGGATCTGATGATTTGTTTTCTGTTTTTTAAACTGAAGAATTCCCTGCCTCTGGAATCAGAGGCAGGGCTGCACAGCTCCGAGGGTGCACCCACACTGCCAGGACAGCTCCCAGAGCAGCAGGCATCACCAGATGGAAGACACGACGGGGGTTGCAGAGGTGCCACATCGTGCCCGGGCCCTGCTGTAAAGTATGTGCCTGAGGTCAGAACTGCAGATGAAGTCATCGTCCGCCTTCTTCATTGTGTCTGCTCACCTTGACCCAGTTCCCCCTTCCAGTCCAGCCAAAACTCGGCTTGGAAGACAGACTGTGGACTCTGCCCCACAAATCAAGATGGTTAAATTCTGTCCATTTACATTCTGTCAATGACCTAACACCATATTCACAAGTGAAAAACCACTGCCACGGGAACTGGAAGGTGTTTCATGGGACAAAGGTACGTGGCAGAGGACTTGCGATTGCCCCATCTTCATGTCTCCGGAGACCCCTCCAAGATCGTGCTCCCCACATTCACCATCACCTTCTTGCTAGCCCATGTTTGCCATCTTTCAGAAGAGCATAACTCTTATTTCCTCTCACCTTCTGGTTGGATTGTGCCTCCTAAAAGGATATGTTGAAGTCCTAACCCTGGTAACCTGTGAATGTGACCTTGTTTGGAAATAGGCTTTTTTCCAGATATCATTAAGATGACATCATTAGGGTGGGCCTTAATCCCATGACTGGTGTCCTTATAAGAAGAGGAAAGACCAGGCACGGTGGCTCACGCCTGTAATCCAGCACTTAGGGAGGCCCAGGCAGGCAGATCACAAGGTCAGGAGATTGAGACCATCCTGGCCAACACGGTGAAACCTCGTCTCTACTAAAAATACAAAAATTAGCTGGGCATGGTCATGCGCACCTGTAGTCCCAGCTACTCGGGAGGCTGAGGCAGGAGAATTGCTTGAACCCAGGAGGCGGAGGTTGCAGTGAGCTGAGATCGTGCCACTGCACTCCAGTCTGGTGACACAGCAAGACTCCATCAAAAAAAAAAAAAAAAAGAAAAAGAGAGAAAGAAAGAAAGAAAGAAAGAGAGAAAGAAAAGAAAGAAAGAAAACAAAAGGAAAATGCCATGTAAGGTCAGAGACACACAGGGAAGAGGGCTGCATGTCCAGGAAGGCAGAGATCAGAGTGCGGCAGCTGCAAACCTAGGAACGCCAGGATGGCCGGGAGCCCCCAGACGCCAGAGGAGGTGAAGAGGGATCCTGCTGGAGCTTTGGAGGGAGCGTGGCTCCACCAACAGCTTGATCCTGGACTTCCGGCCTCCAGAACTGCGAGAGAATGAATCTGAGTTGTTTTAAGCCCCACAGTGTGCAGTGCTTCCTGACGGCAGCTCCAGGAAACCAGCCCATTTTCCATCAGTTACTCACGTTCTGTGTTATGGTTCTGCTGGGCTCCCACAGTGAAGCACAGGCCACTTCATTAAAAGTCAACGTGAGAAATTTTGCTAGTGGTAAAAAGCTGAATTCACTAAAGAAGAAAGAAAGAGAGAGAGAAGGAAGGAAGGAAGGAAGGAAGGAAGGAAGGAAGGAAGGAAGGAAGGAAGGAGGGAAGGAAGGAAGAGGGAGGGAGAGAAGGAGGGAGGGAAGAAAACAAAAGAAAAGAAAAGAAAATGTGGAGGTGGGTGGTGGCTCATGCCTGTAATCCCAGCACTTTGGGAGGCCGAGAGGGAGGATCACGAGGTCAATAGATCGAGACCATTCTGGCCAACATGATGAAATCCCGTCTCTATTAAAAATACAAAAATTAGCTGGGCATGGTGGTATGCACCTGTAGTCCCAGCTACTCAGGAGGCTGAGGCAGGAGAACGCTTGAACCCCGAAGGTGAAGGTGGCAGTAAGCCTAGATCATATCACTGCACTCCAGCCTGGCAACAGAGTGAGACTCCACCAAAAACAAAAACAAATATTTGAAATGTATGATTTCCTCAATTTTCCCAGCACTCCCTGTTGACCATCTCTTTTGTTCGGGAGCTGGGAATTTATTTATTTATTTATTTATTTATTTATTTATTTATTTATTTTGAGACGGAGTCTCGCTCTGTCACCCAGGCTGGAGTGCAGTGGCGCGATCTCAGCTCACTGCAACATCCGCCTCCCGGGTTCAAGCGATTCTCCTGCCTCAGCCTCCCGGGTAGCTGGGACTACATCCACCCGCCTCCACACTTGGCTAACTTTTCGTATTTTTAGTAGAGACGGGGTTTCACCAAGTTAGCCAGAATGGTCTCAGGATGGTCTTGATCTCCTGACCTTGTGGTCCACCCTCCTCGGCTTCCCAAAGTGCTGGGATTACAAGCGAGAGCCACCACACATGGCCAGGAGCTGGGAATTTAATAGGCACATTTGTGCAAGGGGACAAGGAGTCTCCGAGGGAGGAATGTGGGACCCAGGCCATGGCAGGGCTGTGGGAGGCACGGGTGATGGCCAGAGTGCCAGCCTCGTGCGCTTGGACTCCGTGGCCCCAGCTCATTGTCCCTCAGGGCTCCTCCTGAGTCACTGCTGACCTGAATGGTGCTGAGTTTCTGCCTGGCCCAACTTCCTCTGTTCAAATAAAAGCACTCACCAGAGAGAGGTGATATGGGCATGAAAGTGAATATGTACCACACTCTAAAGGCCAAGGAGGAACTTAGAGAGGGCCACAGAGAACACAGGCAAAAACTAAAGCCAGCTATAAACAATCACCTGCAGTCACGCTTCTCAGTCCCACCAGACACCCTTTGGAATACTTGGGACCCTGCCGTGTGCTAGGAAGGGTTGGTTTTATGGAGCAAGGGCAGATCTGTCAGCATTCTTTAATAATGAATTGAAACTTTAAAAGGTTTCCATCTAGAGGAAAAACACAGGAAGGAAGGAAGTCTGATTAACTCTGTTTAACTCTACGAGTCACCAGGGGTGCCATCTCTGCAGTCCCTTTTTCCTGATGGAATCTCTGCCTCCAGTCTGGGATCGCTGGGGCAGAGGGGGGCATCATGCTATGTTGTCCCGGCTGGGCAAATCCGTCTGGTGATATGCCCTCGGTCCTCATCCAGGAGGATGTGTTTCTTACTCATCATAGTGGAGAATGCAGACCAGGGAGTGACCCACAGGTGACAGGCCAGCACCTTCATCTTATGGGATTGTTGTACCAAGGTCGCCCCCCTCTCAGAGTCTGAGTCTGTCCTCAGTGTCCCTTGGGGGATCCACAGTCAGTGTGTGGCCCTAGAGGGGAGCACCATCCACCTGGGCCACTCACATCGGCCACACTGGCCATTTAGGACACTGTCCACAGCACCACAGCGTGGGCCTCACCCAGCAGGAATGCGTTTGGAAGGCTGCTGTGCTCCCAAGAACCAGGCATTCGTGCACAGCTGTGAGGGGCTCCTCCTCCCCGTCCAGCCCAGCCTCTTACGGGGTGTGCTGTCTACCAGGCAGAACCAAGGTGCCCTCCATCCTGGCACTGGCACTAGCCTCTGTTAGGGCACTCAGCGCATCACATGGGAGATCTGTTTACCCACCTGTCTAACTAGGCCAGCAATCCCAACCTTGCATACTTTACACCTGGGAGATTTTCAAATTACCCATGTCTGAGTCTCACCCAAGAGGTTCTAGTTCATTGGCCCTCAGGGAGCCAAGCACCAGTTTTTTCCAAGACAGCCCCACACCCCTGTGCAGGTGAGTCTGTGTGTGCCCAGGGCAAGAATGGTAGAACCAGAAGATAGGCCTGGAAAACCCTGATGGTGTGTTTTACTCCTTCCCTCCTTTCCTCCCTTCCTCCCTTCCTTCTCTCTCTTTCTCCTTTTCTCTCTCTTCTCTTTTTCTTCCTTTTCTTTTCTTTTCTCTCTTTCTTTTTCTTTCTTTCTTTCTTTTCTTTCTTTCTTTTTCTCCTTCTTTCTTTCTCTTCTTCCTTTCTTTCCCTCCTTCCTTCTCCTTTCTTCCTTCCTTCCTTCTCTTTCTTCTTTCCTTCCTTCCTTCTCTTTCTTCTTTCCTTCCTTCCTTCTTTGCTTTCTTTTTCTATCAAAGCCTAGCAAAGTCTATCATATTCAACAAATGTTAATTAAATAAATGAAGAGTGAATGAATGAAACTTTTATTTATTAGTCAGGTTAAAAGGAAGAGTTAAATTCTTAGGTTAAAAGGAAGAGTTTTAAAAGTTACCTGCTTATTGCTTATTCTGAGTATGTAAATACAAAGACTGCTTTCCCGTCAAATTTTGATTTGCTAGAATCTGTCATTTGACAGTAAAGGGAAATGCTGTAGAAAAAAATGAACAATATCTTTTTCACACCTGCAAAATTGACTAACAGCAGACCTCATTTGATTCAAATAAATGAAAAATCATTTGACTTTGGAAATAGATGAAATCCGGAGAGTTGCAGACATAAGCTACAACTTGTAAAGATGGGAAACGGATGAAAACTGGCAAATAAAAGGGGGTTTCCAATAAAAACATCTGTAAGTGTACCTGTGACATCGAGCGTGCTGTGGATCAAATTTGGCAGTACTGCAGCTTAACTTTTCTCATTCTTCATAAAGTAAAAGCCCTGGTTAAATGATGGCTTATTTGTCAAGCTTCAGGCAAACAGCTCATAAAAATCAACCAGCTAGACTCAAACATTTACACAGTAGGAAAAACCTCCTTCGGACAAGCAAGAGATTAAGAACTAGTTTTGAAAATGTGTAAGTAAAGGAGGAAAACAGGAATCGACTAGGTGATATCAGCCAATGGAGGAGTCCCAAATTTCTCGTGGAATAAGCTCTAGCAAGAACTTCCAATAGATAGAAATGAAAACATCTTAAAAGTGAGTAAACTGAGACTCAGCAAAAGGAAATCACTGACTCAAAGAGCACAGAGAAATAAGTTTTCATAAGGAAAATAACAGTCTCCCAATTACCAAGCCATCTTTCTCCTTCACAAGAAAATACATATTTAATAATGTAATCTTGGTGGGGTACACTGGCTCATGTCTGTAATACCAGCAGTTTGAGAGGCTGAGGTGGACAGAGTGCTTGAACTAAGGAATTCAAGACCAGCCTGGGTAACATAGTGAAACCTTGTCTCTGCAAAAAATACAAAAATTACCCAGTCGTGGTGGTGCATGCCTATAATCCCAGCTACTAAGGAGGCTGAGGTGGGAGGATTGCTTGAGCCCAGGAGGTCGAGGCTGCAGGGAGCTATGATGGTGCCACTACACTCCAGCCTGGGTGACAGAGAGAGACACTGTCTCAAATAATAACAATGCTAATAATAATAATAATGTTCTTATTTCCTGCTACTTTTTTCTTAAAAATATACTCTGTTAATTCATATGCTATGCTTCACTGGATTAAAATGTCCTTGAGAACAGAAATTGTCTTCCCTCTCACTAACATATGCAAGTTCTATGCCTGATGCCATTTTTACTGGAGAACATACACCTAGAGTACCTGATTCTAATTATGTCATTTATGATAACATATGTATTAATATATATGCATATCATATATTAAAAATATTTATATGTTACATATATATGTATACTTAAATATATATACCTATATGTGTGTGTGTATATATGCATATATATAATCTTTAAAAGCATATCATACTGGAGATCCTGATTCTCTCTGCACTAGACTAAAACATTTAGCCTTTTGCCTTTTGAGATAGGTTACCTCTAAGGGGCTTTGACAGATGAATAGATGAATGGATGGAAGAATAAATGAATAGGTGGAAGCATGAATGCATCTATTGATGTGTAGACATAGATATTGAATCAAATGACATTTGTAATGTAGAAGCACTATAAAGTTTATGGCCTGATGCGGTGGCTCACGCCTGTAATCCCAGCACTTTGGGAGGCCGAGGAAGGTGGATCACCTGAGGTCAGGAGTTCAAGACCAGCCTGGCCAATGTGGTGAAACCCCATCTATACTAAAGATAGAAAAGCTAACCAAGCGTGCTGGTGCACACCTGTAATCCCAGCTACTCCGGAGGTTGACACAGGAGAATCGCTTGACCCGGGAGGCGGATGTTGCAGTGAGCCGAGATCGCATCATTGCACTCCAGCCTGGGTGACAGAGTGAAACTCCAACTCAAAAAAATGAAATAAAGTTTATCATGCTTGGTACAACCACTGTTCATAAAATTATTCCAACATTTCTCTGGAAGCAGACAGAAAATTAAGGATGGTCACAGGATTTAAGGACACGGCAAATTCCTAGTACCAATTATCTTCTTTAGGGGTAGTCATAGCCTCAAAACCACATCCTTTTACTCAGATTTCTAACAACACTATTCAGTCCCTAAATAGTTCTGAGCAGCATCTCTTTTCTGTTCAAGTGCCTATTCCTCTCTTTGCACAGACAACCTGGGTACACTCCAGCATTCTGGGAGGCTGAGGTGGCCAGATCACTTGAGCCAAGGAGTTAAAGGCCAGCCCGGTCTCTGCAAAAAATGCAAAAATTAGCCAGGTGTGGTGGTACGTGCCCATAATCCCAACTACTAGGGAGGCTGAGTTGTGTTAACATGCCTTAGAGACATGTCAGAAAGCTGTAGGGTGGCATCTGGAGAATCCTCCAAACTCACTTTGAGCCTGAAGTTCATAACTAGAAACTCTATCCTTTTAGGTTAAATTAGTGGTTCTCAGCCAGGGGTGATTTTGCCCCCACAGGAATGCTAGGCAATGTCTGCAGACATTTTTTACCACCACACCTGGCATAGGGGTTGCTCCTGGTATCCAGACAGTAGAAGCCAGAGATGCTGCTCAACATCCTAGGATGTGCAGGACAACCCCCACCACCAAGACTCACTCGGCCCAAAATGTTGGTAGTGCCAAAGTCGAAAATTCCCCAGTTGAATCACGATGCTGTAGACACCTGAGATGAAAATGAAGCTGAAGGGAACCATTACTGATGTCTTTCAGATCACAGATATTTGAGTGACTCATGTGCTAGGAATTCTGGAAATGCTACATCTAATCTGGCAATCATTATGAGAAGGTACTATCCTCATTTTATCAATGAGAACACAAATTTCACAGAAGTTAAATAACTTGCTCCCAATTAAGTAATTCTGTTGGTGGTGCCCGGAAAATCAACCCAACAGAGACCACTCACCAAAATCTCTACTGAAATACAACAGCTTCGCCAGAGCATGGGAGATGCAAGCCTAAGGCAGAAGGAAGAGCAGCCCCACCACTGTGAGCAAACCTGCAGGACTCCATAATCAACAAAAGTCAACGCAAGCTAAGAATACATTTCAGCCGCAAGATGCTGCATGAGTTCATGAACAATGCTTCCATGCCATTCTCATGGGAAAGTAGGCTGTCTGGAGCACATT
This sequence comes from Homo sapiens, assembly GCF_000001405.40. Taxonomy (NCBI): domain Eukaryota; kingdom Metazoa; phylum Chordata; class Mammalia; order Primates; family Hominidae; genus Homo; species Homo sapiens. Next base: position 130,505 of record NW_025791776.1, read on the forward strand.
TATGCAACTGCCACCTGAAAGGACAATCGCATCTTTCTGGAAACCCCCTTGAGACTAGGCCTAACACTGTGTCTCATCTTCAATCATCAATCAACAATTGCTTGTCCTTGTAGTCTGAAAAATCTTGGTGAGGTGGTCAAAGACAAAAGTTGGTTGAGTGGGTCATGGACTTTCCCAGGCTTGACAATTTACCCATTCGGATGTTCTTGTCTGAGAAGAAAGAGAGAAAGACAGAGAAAGAAAGGGAGGAGGAGAGAGGGAGAGAGGGAGGGAGAGTAAACTGATATCAGATGAGTTCAGTTTAGGAGGCAGTAGGATGTTGAGGAGTTGCACTTCAGAATAAATCAACGAGTCTCACCCGCCATTTCGCAGAGCTTTCCTTAAGACACGGTAATACTTTCAGGCTTGTTTTCAAGACTTTCCTTATTTATTCATTTTTAATTGACATGTAACAATTGTACATGTTTATGGGTCGTAGGGTTTGCTGAATTTCATAAAATTGTATGTTTCAATATATGTAATGTATAGTAATCATATCAGGGTGATCAGCATACCCAGCATCACACACATTTAGCACTTTTTTTGTGTGTTGGAAACATTCAATATCCTCCTTCTAGCTGTTTGGAACTATATATTATTGTTAACCACAGTCATCTCACAATGGTATAGAACAGGGTCCCCAACCCCCGGACCATGGATCAGCACCCTGGCCTGTTAGGAACCGGTTGCACAGCAGGAGGTGAGTGGCAAGCCAGCAAGCATTGCTGCCTGAGCTCCACCTCCTATCAGATCTGCCACAGCATTAGATTCTCTAAGGAGTGTGAACCCTATTGTGAACTGTGCATGCCAGCAATCTAGGTTGAACACTCCTTATGAGAATCTAATGCCTGATGATCTGAGGTGGAACAGTTTCATCCAGAAACCACCCCCCCACCCCCAACCTTTGCCCATGAAAAAATCATCTTACACAAAACCAATCCCTGCTGCCAAAAAGTTTGGGGACTACTGGTCTAGAACACTAGGACTTATTCCTCCTATCTATCTACCTGTAACTTTGTATCCTTTAACAAATCTCTCCCTATCTGCCCTCCCCTCCCAACCTCTACTATCCTCTGTTCTACTTTTCAGTTCTATGAGATCAACTTTTTTAAGCTTCCACATATGAGTGAGAACAGGTGATGTTTAACTTTGTGTTCCTGGTTTATTTTACTTAACATAACATTTTCTGGTTCCATCCATGTAGCCACAAATGACAGAATTTCATTCTTTTTTATTTAGACAGAATCTTGCTCTGTCCCTCAGGCTGGAGTGCACTGGGGTGCTCTCAGCTCACTGCAACCTCCACCTCCCAGGTTCAAGAGATTCTCCTACCTCAGCCTCCTGAGTAGCTAGGACTACAGGCACCTGCCACCACACCTGGCTAATTTTTTGTATTTTTAGTAGAGATGGGGTTTCACCATGTTGCCCAGGCTGGTCTCAAACTCCTGGCCTCAGGTGATCCGCCTGCCTCGGCCTCCCAATTTCATTCTTTTTTAGAGCTGAATAGGAGTCCATGGTGTATATATATACCACATTTTCTTTATCCATGCATTTGTTGTTGGACATCTAGGTGGATTCCATATCTTGGAAAGTGTGGAAAGTGCTGCAGTAAACATGAGGGTGCGATGTCTCTTGGATATACTGATGTCCTTTCCTTTGGGCAAATGCCCACTAGTGGGGTTGCTGGATCATGTGACATTCCTATTTGCAGTGTTTTGAGGAGCCTCCATACTGTTCCCCAAAATGGCTGTGCTAGTTTACATTCCCACACCCCATGTGGGAATTCCCTCTCCTCAGCAGCCTCGTCAGAATTCGTTCATTTTTGCCTTTTCGATAATAACCATTCTAACTGGCATGAGATGAGACCTCACTGTGGCTTTGATTTGCATTTCCCTCATGATTAGTGATATTAGGCAATTTGTCATATACTTGTATTTCTAATTTGACACTATTTTCAAATGTGGATATTTTAATAAACTGTTCTCAAATTTGAATATTTCCAAATTTTATTATTGTATAAAACTCAACAGATCCTAGACCTTTAAGAAACATTCCTTTTGTATGTCATCATGACTTAGGACTCTGTGACGTTTGAAAGTCGTCACAAGATGGGTCGCATTTTCTGTTTGTACGCAGACTTGTTCTATGTCACAGACTCGGCTTCTGTGTATGACTTTTAAAAATAGACCTTTCTGGTTCCCAGCCTGAGCTAGCTCATCACTGCTCTGCCTTCCCTTGGAGAAGTTCCCAGGCCCAGGGCCAGTGGGGACACAGAGGAGCTGGGGAACCGGCCAAGCAGTAGGGCCCCAGGCTTAGGAGCCTGCCGGGACCCAGAAGTCTTTGGATCTGATTTTGCTGCCACCTGTGAAGTCTTTCTGTGACAGTGTTGCCACTTAGGAGCCCGTCCCTGAATCCAGGGATGGACTAGATGCATTCTGAGGCTCTTCCACCTAGGAGATGGAGGAGCAAAGCTGACTCTTCATGCTGGCAAGTGGCCGGCCACAGCCCAGGGCCACTCCCTTCCTGAATTTGCCCTCCTTTCTTGCTGTCCTCTCCCAGGGCCCTTGGGGCCTGACCCTTCCACCTTCAATAAGACAGAGGGAAGGACAGGGGAGGGAAGACCTTTCTACCTCCCCAGGTTCAATTCCCCAACGCCTATCTGGGAGGGGAGGGACAGGGAAAGGAAGGGGAGGCCATGCCCCCTCCCATTGGGTCCCCAACATCCTCCACTGAGACCACAGCTTCCTCCATCTGCACAATCTCAGAGGTCATTTTCAAGCCCCTACAGGTGCCAGGCTTTGCTGGCCATTAAGGGGTGCAGAAGAGGAGAAGGCAAGAACCCTGTGTTACAGGCTGTTTATAACCTACTTGGCAGGAAAGAGTAAGCAAAGCCAGCTATTACATGAAAGTCTTCAAACACAGGAATGGAGAAAGACTTTAAGGACGCCCCCTCCCACACCATCCCAGATCCCAGCACCTTGTGCTGGATGAGCCCAGGAAAAGCCCCAGGTGTACCAGCAAAACAGAAAGCAATGTAGCCTTCTGTGGGTGGGGACTAAGTCTGTGTGTCAGATGGGTTGTGAGAGAGGACATAGACCAGCCAGGAAATAATTCTATATATTAGGATTTTAAAAGCCACTGTGCAGTGGTTTGGGGACCTAATTGCTGCGCATAATAGCATTTTTAGGACAAACACGGTTTGTTTTCTAACAGACTTAAAAGCGAGCCTTGGGGACACAGCCTTTCCCAAAGTCAGGGTCTGCTGTGTTTTATGTTATCAACTACAACTAGCTTAGGGAGGGAGGCTGAAAATAGAAGCCACTGCCATCTAGACTTGGCAAGGAAGCTTTGCTCAAAGATATCTCCCCTTTGTGTTGTGTGAAATGCCACTTGGGTTAACAGATTCCTGGAGGAGGGGTGTGTTAGTCTGCTAGGGCTGCCATAATAAAGTACCACAGACTGGGGGCTTCAACTGCAGAAATTGATTGTCTCACCATTCTGAAAGCTGAAAGTCCAAGTCAAGACATTGGCAGGGTTGGCTTTTTCTGAGGCCTCTCTCCTTAGTGTCCTCCTATGTCCTCCTAATTACCTCTTATGATAAGGACACCAGTCACACTGGGTTAGAGTCCACCCCAATGACCTTGTTTAACCTCAATTACTTCTTTAAAGGCCCTATCTCCAAGTGCAGTCACCTTCTGAAGCACTGGAGGTTAGGGCGTCAATATATGAATTTAGAGGAGGCACAATTTAGCCCTGAACAGGGGACATTCTGTGTGTGTGTCTTGGGGGGACACAGCATTTTCATTACCCCCAGCCCACGCTCATTTAAACCCAGTTGAATGATCCAAATAATCCCACACTCCTGGGAGACCACAGATAACTGAGGAAGGGGAGGCAAGGGCGTCTCAGGGACAAGAGAGGCTCTTGACTGGTGGCACGAGAGTGACCATGTCCCAGATCAGAGCACATAAGTGGTCCGGGGACAAGCAAAACCAAATGTGGGGAGCCCTGCAGGAGGGAGGGACACTGGGGAGCACAGAGCAGCCTTGCCAGTGGGTCCCACCCTCATCTCATGCAGCCAGGAGCTGGCTTCGGGGTTAGGAGTCAACAGCTAGTTCAGCACGCACCCTTGACGAGAGTGACATGAGTGATATCGATCAAAAAGGACCTGACTCTCAGCTTACTCGAGTAGCTCCTCCACCTCTCGAAACCCTTTAGAAAATATATATATCTTTGCAAATGCTCTGCCCTGCAAGAAAACCTTCTATATTCTAAATTCCTCTAGCTGAAAACCAAAGGGCTGTTTACATAATGAGTTCGAAAATAAAAGGAAAATATTAGAAGGCATTCCTCATGAATTCTGATAAGGATATTATCCTGTTCAGAGGCATCCTAATTATAAAACTACACAATAAACCTCAATTCTAACAGAGTTATTCTTCTCTATCGGGCAGATGGTAATTGCTTTTAAAATATATATATGTACAACTTGTGTCTTATCTGTTTTGAGAAAGTAATATCTATCTTTTTAAATTGCCTAATTTTTTATTCTGCAGAGGCTAACTCTGAATAAATCTCTCTTCAAAAAAATTGCCAGCCTAGGCAAAAAAGCAGCACTTAAAAAATAGAATATTTTCTCAGAAAAGATGAGATTGCAAAGTGATAAGACTCAGAGAGAAGTATTATAAGCTTTTCTGTAGCTACTTGTGAATGCAAGGCGCAAAATAAAGTTTTCTGCCTGTTCTGCCCACACATGCCCACAGGGTGGGTTAGGACTGGGTGAGCTCCAGGCTGGCTCACACCCCAGTGGGCAAGGAGCGGGCAGGCTCCGAACGGTTTAGGAATAACTGAGGGTGATGACTCCTGAAGTTGTACTAGGTCCACTCCCTTTCTTTAAAAGATGGCTTCATCTCGAGTGTTCCAGTCATAGCCCAGAATACCGCTTTCCTGCCTAGCAAAGCTTTCGATGAAACAAATATTTTGTGGTGTGTGGAGGGAGAGAAGGTTCTATTTTATCAGTAGAAGATGATATACAGTAGAATTTTAACACTGCAAATCAAAGCCTATTCGAAAGAAGTGAAATCAATTTAGCTTTTTTTTTTTTTTCAGATGGAGTCTAGCTCTGTCGCCCAGGCTGGAGTGCAGTGGTACCATCTTGGCTCACTGCAACCTCTGCCTCCAGGGTTCAAGCAATTCTCCTGCCTCAGCCTCCTGAGTAGCTGGGATTACAGGCATGCGCCATGATGCCTGGCTAATTTTTGTATTTTTAGTAGAGTTGGGGTTTCACCATGTTGGCCAGGCTGGTCACAAACTCCTGACCTCAAGTGATCCACCTGCCTTGGCCTCCCAAAATGATGGGATTACAGGCATGAGCCACTGTGCCCGGCCCAATTTAGCATTTTCTAAAAAATGAAATACTAGAATACCCTAGACTGGATTAGATAGGAGAAATGAGAAAATATCCCAGTGCTATGCACATAGGAAGGGTAAATAACGTGTAAAACTTGAACTCTTTCAGGGTCAAAGAGCAGTTACTCTGTCGTTCACTCACCCATCACCCACCCTCTTGACAGAAAGGGTTAATGCTGCCCTGGTGGTATTTTATGCTAAGAGAGAACACACAGGGAAGATCTGGAGTGTGACTCACATGAGCAAGTGTGACATCCCAGGGAGGACCGGGAAGCTCTATGGGATGGGAGGACCATGATCAGATGGTAAAACCACAGTATCTCTCCTTGGGTACCCAGAGAGCAACAAACAGGCCAATCTAGTTGCTTGTTGTCTCATGAGCTGATTTCAATAAAGATGCAACCAGAGACAAAGAGGAAAGGAACGTCACAGTATCAGCGTGCACTGAAGCAGACCACCTTTTCCAATGTGAAAATGGGACGTTTTAGACATTTTCAAAAACAGTTGATTTACTTCTAGTAAAGTACTATAGATTTTTCTCGTGATTGTGCCTGTGTGTGTGAAAGCCCACCCACATATCTCATGCGTCCAAAACACATACACTTTTTGCAGAAATAGTTATAATTAAAATGTACGTTTTAAACGAAAGACAAAGTGAAACACAAATACGGGTATAGAGGTATAAGGACAACTCAGACCAAAAATATCACTGACCCTAAAATAAATATCTAGAGTCCCTAATCAGCAGTGCCTACCATCCCCTATATCTAGCTTTCTTTCAGCTAAATTAATACTCTTGCAACTCGGAATGGTATCAGATCCTAAAGCCATGATGGGATGGGAAGAGCACACTCCTTAGTTATTACTCTGCATTCCATTGAAATCGCTATCATGTTTGAAACATTCAGTTTTTCCTATCTTTTTTTTCCTAGTAAGTAACCTAAATTAAGCTAAAATATCATTTATTCTTTTCTAACTGCAGCCTGTTCCTTGCATTTGAAAGAAGTCTGTGCCAGGGCTCTCCTGTGGATGAATGTATCTCACACGCTAATGATGAAACCCTTCCCTGAGCCCCGCATCAGGGATTCTGAGCTCAGGGCAGATGCGTCGTCGTCACGGTCTTTGCTGCAGTCACGACTCCTTCCACCTTGGGGACCAATCAGTGGTGGTTTCTCTTCCACGTATTGCCTCACTGTCTGTGCAGTCACATCTCTCAAAGCAACGTGGGACTTTGCCAGAGCCAGCTGCCTGAAATGTTCTTCCTCCTTATCTGTAGCACCTGGATCCGCACGAGAAAAGCTGCACAAATACGTTTCTGGAAAGGCGGTATCACCAACGGAGATTGCTTTGATTAGGGCACAAGCTTTTCCATCTAAATATCTATCCATTTCTGGACTAATTTATTTATGCACATATTCTATCATTCAGTAAGAATGAATTCAGAAATCTATGCACTGAGAGAGACTACATTTATCTCATATCTCTCTTGAAGACATTCATTATATATTTCTCTCTCTCTCTCTCTCTCTCTCTCTCTCTTTCATTCTTTTAACTTTGTTTCCTCGGGTGTTAATTCTTTGCTTAAGTTTGCTTTTCGTCAAACGTTTGATTGAGAATGAGGTACACACTTCCAGAAGGAAGGAATTCGTACTTGTCATCAAGGTGACCAGCTCCCAGCTCATCCTGTGGGGTCCCTGGCTGCATCCAGCTTTTGTCCTGAGCCTGGGTGCTTCTCCCAATGCTGCCTCCTGCTGGCACAGCCAGGTTCACCGTCATGAGGATCTGCGGTCCGTGCTCTGCTCTTCATTCCTGCTTCCTCTGCAACAGCTCCAAGCTCTGTGGCAGGACACACCTGCTGTGGATATTCTGGGCTACCCTGTCTGCCCATCTGCTTCTATCTACCATCGTCTTTCAGGGATTTCTCCCAATTCCAGGTCCACTGGTGGTTCTTCTCATTTTCTAAGTTTTACAGGCGGGAGTGTAAAATGGTAAAGCCAGCTTAGAAAAGAGTTGGGGAGTTTCTTATAGATTTAAACATATACTTAGCCTTTGATGCAATAAGTCCACTCCTTGGCATTTACCCAAAGCAGATGAAAATAAGGGTCTACAAAGACTTGCACACAAGTGTTCATTGTTCATCTGCACAATGGTCAGAACCAAAGCAACCCAAATGCTTTCCAAAAGGAGGATGGATAAACAGATGGTGGAATATCCATACAATAAATACTACTGGCCAATAAAAACAAACTACTGACCTATGCAACAGCATGGGCCAATCTCACCATGAGATTATATGTGGATTAATGGAGGCCAGATATAAGAGTACGTACTTTATCATTCCATTCATGCAAAGTTCAGAGATAAGCAAAACTAGTTTTTGATGAGACAAATCAAAACAGAGGGTGCCTCTGGTGGAGGGGTGGGGTGAGCATGACCAGAAAGGAACATGGGGGAACTTTCTAGAGTGATGGAAATATCCCATGTCTTAATTGGGGTAAGTTACATGGGTAAGAACCATTTTTTAAAACCCACTGAGTTGTACAACTAAGATGTGTGCACTTCACTGTATGTAAATTAATTCTCTATTTAAATAGTTTTTAAAATCAGATACTATCTTTTTTTCTTTTTGAGATGGAGTCTCACTCTGTTGCCCATGCTGGAGTGCCCAGTGGTGCAATCTCAATTCACTGCAACCTCCACCTACCGTGTTCAAGCAATTCTCTTGCCTCAGCCTCCCAAGTAACTGAGACTACAGGTGCACGCCAACATGCCTTGTTAATTTTTTGTATTTTTAGTAGAGATGGGGTTTCATCATGTTGTCCAGGCTGGTCTCGAACTCCTGGCCTCAAGTGATCTGCCTGCCTTGGCCTCCCAAAGTGCTGGGATTGCAGGCGTGAGCCACTGCACCCAGCCTAATTATATTTTTCTAGGTTGACATGGGAGCAAGAAGGCATTTACTGTCATAAACTGCTGGCAAAAAGATTCAAAAGATTTCATTACATTCTAATGCTTTAAAAATGCTTACTATAAATATAATACATGTTCTCAATTTCGACTAATTATACTATTTCACTCACCACCCCACAGCCATGTCAGGAAACAGAATTGACTTTTTCTTTCTCAGAATACTATATTTGGACCTATATTTAGACCTAATATTTAAGGTAGCATTGAATACAGACGCTACCTTGACATGCAATATCAGCTGTCATTTTACACTTCCACACAACCAGAAAGTAACTGCCTTTGCCTCAAGCAAAGATGAAAGGGACAGGAAAAATTAGATTATTATCTCTGGAAATCTCTTTAGGACCAAGCAGTTTCTTCTTCAGAAAGGAATGCATGACTCATTTCATCACTCAAGAATTCCTTCAACTGCCAGAGAAAATCTATACTCCATAATTACAAAAGCCATCTCAGGTTCCTTCTCTGCTGCAAAAGCTAAGTACAGTATAGGCCAAGAGGAATCGTTCAGAGATTTTCACAAAGACGGTTCCAGGCAGTCTACAAACCCACTGTGTTGGATTTGAACACTGGACATTTGGAGGTCAAAATTCACAAACGAGTTATGATGTTACGCCAGCTTCTGGCAGTTGCTGCCATGACCATGGAGGTGAAGCCACTGTGGATTTGAGCAGTCCATGTTGACAACACCTCTGCAGCCATGCTAATATCAAAGCAGCACAGCTCCAGGGGTAAGCTCATGCTCCGAAGCCTTAGGCTAATGCCCCATTTCTTCTTCTGTTCCTTAAACATTTCCTCATCTTTATAACCAATTATCTGAATTAAATGTTTTCTATTAGCTGAGCATGGTGGCTTGAGGCTGTAGTTCCAGCTATTCAGGAGGCTGAGACAGGAGGATTGCTTGAGCCCAGGCTGTAGTGAGCTATGATGGTGCCACTGCACTCCAGTCTGGGCAAGAAAGCAAGACCCTGTCTCTCTCTCTCTCTTTTTTTTTTTTTTTAATTTTCAAATTAAAAAGAGTGAGAACAGGTGAAACTCACTCTGTTGCCCAGGATGGAGTGCAATGGCATGATCTTGGCTCACTGCAACTTCTGCCTCCCAGGTTCAAGCAATTCTCCTGCCTCAGCCTCCCGAGTAGCTGAGATTACAGGCATGTGCCACCACGCCCGGCTAATTTTTGTACTTTTTTTAAGTAGAGATGGGGTTTCACCATGTTGGCCATGCTGGTCTCAAACTCCTGACCTCACATGATCCACCCGCCTCAGCCTCCCAAAGTGCTGGGATTATAGGCATGAGCCACTGTGCCCAGCCGACCCTGTCTCTTAAAAACAACAACAACAACCACAAAAACAACCCTTCCGTTGAAACACTTAGCATATTAACTTAGGGCTCTGTGCCAGAAGTGGGTTTAAAGATTGAGTTATTAATCGACTTTGACCCTGAACTCAGTAATGGTGTTGGAGTCAGTGGAAAATGGGAAAAACAGTAGTGAGTGTAAAGTCATAGCATGATAATTCCACAATTATCACCAGCTGTGGTTGCCTGAGGCAAAGCACATAGGGAAAGGAAAGCTCTAGGGGAGCAAGTTGCTACTGAACTTGACCATTATGGAAGCAAGGATGATAAGAAGGGGAAAGCGGGGATTGGGCTGCTTCTGAGTGCCATGGAAAGGACAAGCTCCAAGGTTGAAAACCTCACCAAGAGTCAGAGAAACAATTTTTGTTTGCCAATTTTAAAAAAATTATATATTTTTAAAAGGCACAAGGGAAGAACAGCTGTAATTGTTGATGTATGGAAGTCATCTTGCAACCATAAGAGAGCCAATAAATAATTAGAAAGAGTCAGAACAGGTGAAAAACACCATGAAAGCCCTAAAAGATTACCAAAGCTCTTCTAGCTGAAGGACTGATACTGCTGAAAATCAGTCCAAAAATTTGGCTGTTGAGGTTGCAGAATTACAAAATGCATTGAATTCGCAGTCATGCCAACCCTCCAATGTGAGAGTCAGAACACAGACTGGAAATAAATCAGACCCTGAAAACTGAAATGAGTCCATTTGGGTTGACTCAGAAACCTTTGAGAACCTACACCCCTCACACCCTTTGCCTCCCTCACCCATAGAAGTCATTTCTCTTGGCCTGGCTGGGAGACTGGACTCCCTTTGCCTGAAGCCCTCATACTGCTCTCACCTAGAAGCTGCCTTGCAAGGGAACACTGGTTCTCCTCAACACTCACCCAATACCTCTCATGCCCAGCAAACCAGAGCCCAGCACACCCTAAGGGGACAAAGGCCATGTCTAACCCAAGAGAAAATAGCTTATACCCCCAAAGAATTGCAAGATGGTGTTAATTTATACGGGCAGGAACCTGTGTGCCAGTCAGAAGGGCAGAGTGGAAGATTACCCAGGTTCAGGCTAGAGGAAAAGCCTAATAAAGATCACATACATCCATGCAGAATCTGAAATCCTTGATTTTATAGTTTCACTCTCCAGAATTGAGCTGTTGTGATCCACTTAGGAAAGTGCATGTAGTAAAGACTCCTAACTGGTCCCCAGTGTCCATATGTCCCTGTTTGTTTCTAGTGGTTCTAATCTGGACGCACACTATCTAGCTGAAGACTACATTTCCTGGGCCCCTTGGAACTACTGTGCAATGGGATATGAGTAAAGGTGGTGTGTGTAACTTCCAGGTCATTCAGTTACAGTCACTTCCAGATTCTGGAAAAGGCAGCAGCTGGAGCCACCATGGAAGCCATGAGTTAACTGCATGTCATATACCATAGAAGAGAAGCTTCTGACTTGATCCTCCGGATGGCTTTCTGTTAAAGGACCAGTGTTCTAACTAATACAAGGTGTATTATTTTAAAATATAAATGCTCCTAGGGAACTACATGTTAAATTTTTATGTGAATTAGTTTCACCAAATTACTTTGCCCCAGACTCCTTGAAGTTAAGTCAAAGACAGCAAGGTATTTGAAATGCCAAACCCCGCCCCCTGCACTTAGAGCAGACATTCTTCATCGATGACCACACTCTCCTCTAAGCCAACACCAATCCTTAACACAGTGCTTCTCTACTGGCAGCTTCCACTAATTGACCCAATTTGGTGAAGAGATAAAATCTACTTACCATCCTGAGTTAGGTCTGTATGGAAAACAGCAAAATGGGATGGTCACTGAAGTGAAGACTTTGAGACAATAAGAGGAGCAGGAGGGTCCATGAGTTAGGGAACACTGAACAGTAAATAACAACAACAAAAATGTCTGGAGTGTGCACTCTGTGTCAGCCACTATTCTTAGCAAGGGCAGTCTAAACTGGCTTACAGGTGTGTAAGTCAGAGTCCTTGCTTACCAACAACAGAGTTCAACCCAGCTCAACCAAAAGGAATGTAGAGATGTCTCCTGAAGAATCTCTAGGAGGGTCAGGAATTTAACTAGGAAGCTACACAGCCTAGAATGACACTCACATAATCTGAGTGGTATAATTAAGATTATACCACTGAACCACCCCAGGGAAGACACCACCTTTAGCCAGGTACAAGCACTCTAGACAGAACCAGCAACCCTGGCTCGAAAGTCCCATGGGGACCTTAGCTGCTGCTGTCTCTGGAAGCTGGCTGGCTCCCCACCTACTCACAAGAAGGATCTCTCCTTGGGCTTCCCTCTTCCAGACTACACATCTGTTCTGGGGTGTCTGATGGGCTGAGACCAGGTCACACGCCTGTGCCTAGCTGCAAGGGAGTCTGAGAAAGCAAGTTTCTGGCTTCAAGGAAGCAAGGATTACGATAAGCTGTGTTGGTTACCTATTGCTGTATTGCAAATTACCCCAAAATATAATGGCCTAAATCAGCAGTATATTTTTTAAATTTTTTTAACTTTTATTTTAGGTTCAGAGGAACATGTTCAGGTTTGTTATCTAGGTAAACTTGTGTCACAGGGATTTGTTGTACGGATTATTTCATCATCCAGGTACTAAGCTGTATCAGTCCATTTACATGCTGCTGATAAAGACATACCCAAGACTGGGGAGAAAAAGAGGTTTAATTGGACTTATGGCTGGGGACCTCCCACATGGCTGGGGAGGTCTCAGAATCATTGTGGGAGGTGAAAGGCACTTCTTATGTGGTGCCAGCAAGAGAAAAATTAGGAAGAAGCAAAAGCAGAAACCCCTGATAAACCCATCAGATCTTGTGAGACTTAATCACTATCACAAGAACAGCACAGAAAAGACTGACCCCCATGATTCAATTATCTCCCCCTGGGTTCCTCCCACAACATGTGGGAATTCTGAGAGGTACAATTCAAGTTGAGATTTGGCTGGGGAAACAGCCAAACCATATCATAAGCCTAGCACCCCATAGCTATTTTTTCTGTTCCTCTCCCTCCTCCCACCCTCCACCCTCCAATAGACCCCGGTGTCTGTTGTTCCCTTCTTTGTGTCCATCTGTTCTCACCATTTAGCTCCCACCCAAAAGTGAGAACATGCGGTATTTGGTTTTCTGTTCCTGTGTTAGTTTGCTCAGGATAATGGCCTCCAGCTCCATCCATGTTCCTGCAAAGGACATGACCTCATTCTTTGTTATGGCTTCATAGTATTCCTTGGTGTATATGTACATTTTCTTTATGCAATCTGTCATAGATGGGCATCTTAGGTTGATTCTATGTCTTTGCTATTGTGAATAGTGCTGCAATGAACATTTGCATGCATGTGTCTTTATGGTAGAATTATTTATATTCCTCTGGATATATACCCAGTAATGGGATTGCTGGGTTGAATGGTAGTTCTGTTTTTAGCTCTCTGAGGAATCACCATACTGCTTTCCACAATGGTTGAACTAATTTACACTCCCACCAATAGTGTATGTGTTCCTTTTTCTTCACAACCTAGCCAACATGTTATTTTTTTGACTTTTTAATAATAGCCATTCTGATTGGTGTGAGATGTTGTCTGATTGTGGTTTTGATTTGCAGTTCACTAATGATCAGTGACGTTGAGCTTCTCATATGGCTGTTGGCTGCATCTATATCTCTTTTGAAAAGTGTTTGTTCATGTCCTTTGCCCACTTTTTAATGGGGTTGTTTTTCTCTTGTAGATTTGTTTAAGTTCCTTATAGATGCTGAATATTAGACCTTTGTCAGATACATAGTTTGCATATATTTTCTCCCATTCTGTAGGTTGTCTATTTACTCTGTTGATAGTTCCTTTGTTCTGCAGAAGTTCTTAATTTTCCTATGACCAGAATGGCATTGCCTAGGTTATGTTCCAAGGTTTTTATAGTTTTTGGGTTTTACATTTAAGTCTTTAAGACATCTTGAGTTAACTTTCATATATGCTGTAAGAAAAGTGTTCAGTTTCAATCTTCTGCACGTGGCTAGCCTGTTATCCCAGCACCATTTATTAAATAGGGAGTCATTTCCCCATTGCTTGTTTTTGTCAGCTTTGTTGAAGATCCTATGGCCATAGGTGTACAGCCTTATGTCTGGACTCTTTGTTCTGTTCCATTGGTCTATGTATCAGTTTTTTGTACCAGTACCATACTCTAGCCCTGTAGTATAGTTTGAAGTCAGGTAATGTGATACTACTACTGTTGTTCATTTTGCTTAGGATTGCCTTGGCTATTCAGGCTCTTTTTTGGTTCCGTATGAATTTTAAAATAATTTTTTTTAGTTCTGTAAAGAATGTCATTGGTAGTTTGATAGGAATAGCATTGAATCTGTAAATTGCTTTGAGCAGTACGACCATTTTAATGATACTGGTTCTTCCTATCCATGAACATGGGATGTTTCTTCATTTGTGTTATCTCTGGTTTCTCTGAGCAGCATTTTGTAATTCTAATTGTAGAGATCTTTCACTTCCTGGTTAGCTGTATTCCTAGGCATTTCATTCTTTTTGTGGTAATTGTGAATGGGATTGCATTCCTGATTTGGCTCTTGGCTTGATGGTGGTTGGTGTATAGGAATATTAGTGATTTTTGTACATTGATTTTGTATCCTGAAACTTTGCTGAAGTTGTTTAATCAGCTGAAGGAGTTTTGGGCCAAGACTATGGGGTTTTCTAGATATAGAATCATGTCATCTGCAAACAGGGATAGTTTGACTTCCTCTCTTCCTATTTGTGTGCTCTTTATTTCTTTCTCTTGCCTGATCTAAATCTGCAATATTCTCTTTGATCTCTCACAGTATCTCTGACAGTATCTGTAGGTGAGGAATTCAGTCAGGGCACAGTGAGAATGAATTGCTTCTGCTCTATAATGACTGGAACCTCAGCTGTACGACTCAAAGACTGGGGTCCAGAATCATCTGAAGACCCACTTACTCACGTGTCTGGCAGGTGCTGCTGGCTGTCTGCAAAGACCTCAACTGGGCTGATGGCTGGAAAACCCACACATGCAGCCACTCCATGTGGCTTGGGCTTCCTCTCACCATGGCGTCTGGGTCTCCCTGGAAACATCCTGAGAGAAAGCTGAGGAAAGCAGTGTCCTACAATGACCTAGTCTTGGAAGTCACATGGCTTTCATGTGTCCCCACACTGTCAAAGCAGTCTGAGCCACTGCTCAGATTCAATGCCACAGAACATAGAGCCCAGCCTTCCATGAGAGGAGTGCAATCAAAGTCAGCTTGGCCATCTTTGGAAAATACAATCTGTCTTAGGAGAGAAATTCTGCAAGCACAGGAAGGGTGTGCCAACGGTGCCAGAGGACGACAAGCATGACAGAAGTCCTCGCCACCCATGTCAGGTAGCAGCACTTGCCTGACCTCCTGCCCTGCCACCCCTTCCCCTTTTCGAGCCCTCTTCACCTTCCTCTCTTCCTTCCCTTCTGCCCTTCCCCCTACAGAGGCCCAGCAGCCTGTGCACTGTGGCACCATGAGAATAGCCTTGGACAAGGTATCAGGACCAGGGACCCAGCTTCCTCTCTCACAGCCTCCTATGTGACTCTGGGCAAGACTCACTGCTGGGACCTCAGACGTCTGTGCTGTGAAATAAATATTGGGTTGGGTTTTCAATTCAACAACAAAAATGTGTGTGCGCCCATTGTGTGTCTTGAGCAAATGCAGAGGTGAGCCTGAGGCATTCCTTGACATCCCCAAGCTCTTTCCTTCAGCATCTGGAGCCATTTGCTGTAGAGTGATTAGAGAATGAGAAAGGTGTCCTCCTAGCGCCCCAGCTGCAGGAGGCTAGGATCTCTTCATTGCTGTCTCTACAGCAAACTGCATGCAGTGAGTGCTCTTGAGCAGTGGCTACAAGCTCTGTCTGGAGCCAAAGCTGGGTCTGAATTCGGGCTCCACTGACTGTTCACTGCATTATTTTGAGCCAGTTGCTTAACTTCTCCCTGCTTCAGTTTACTTATCTATAAAGTAAGGATAAGCACGGTACCTACTTAATAGGGCTGTCACAAAGATTTAATGGTTGCATACATTTGTAGTGCTTGGGATGGCGCTCAAGATATGTAAGTGCCATTTAAGTGCCAGCTTGGTGATGGGAAGTGAATGGCAAAAAAGGACACATGACCTGTAACATCACATACCCACGCTATGCTCCCTTGCAGTGAATTATTTTAGCAGAAAGTGTTTTTTTAATTTTGGCAGTGATCTTAACACCTTAGTTCAGGAGAGTAAACAACCTGTACACATTTAGGGTGGGTATTTTGAGGCAATGTCTTGGTGACTTTAGGAGACTGGGGCTCATGAGGAAATAGGACCAACTGAAAAACTGGGAGGCAGTTTTTGAGATAGGTAATAAATGGGCAAACCACAGCTCTTCATGTCTTCATAGAAGCTGCAGCTGGAGACAGCGGCACCTGGGACCACTGGGTGAATGTTCATGGAGGAGTCATTGGCAGATAGGACTTATTCTCAGATGATGGGCCTCTTGTGATGACCAGCATCCCTCTCTCCCTTCCTTTCTTCCCTTCATGCTAGACTGGTGCAGGCTGTCTGCAGATTCCCTAACCACTCCCCTTCCCCACCCCTCAGTGGCTTGGGCTTCCTCTCAACATGGTGTCTGGCTGTCTGCAGATTCCCTAACCACTCCCCTTCCCCACCCCTCAGTACTCAACAACATAGCAGGAGCTACATACCCACAGTTGTCCTTAGAAATTATTTTATGTAACTATGATAAATGCCCTTAATTCAACTGTCTCAATATTATAAGTCTAATCTTCAATAAAATGACAACATTCGGTAATAATTTTTTTTTCATTTTTACTGGTACACATTCCATTTTAGAATATTTGAAAATCAAAATGGAATAACTAAAACACAATGTAACCTCTACACACTGCTGGGCTGGGTAAATATCTGTTCATGCCAGGGGTAAAGCAGAACTTTCTAGAATCTTCTGAGATGGAAGAAGGAGGGGGGTTTACAAACCACACAGCCCCTTCTGCCCACCCCTGACCTGACCATCCTGTCACTGAAGGAAATGTTTGGATCCATGGGCTGGAGAACTGAGGAAGGACGAAATTGAGATGTTCTACCTGTACTAACATGATAATAGTGATAACATCATTCAAAATTTCTCCTTCTAGTCTTTTTTCCTGTGCATAGTTATATGTAGTTGTAGCTGCCATGTGGATATAATTTTGCACTCTACTTTCTCACTTAAAATTATTATGTAGATCATGAATATTTCCATTTTGCGATATAATCTTGATAACTGTAACATTCTTGCTGCAAAATATATTCTAAGTGGATTCAGTGTGATTTACTTAACACTTTCCCTCCTATTGTAAATTTAGGTTGTTTCCAATCTTTAACTAACCTTTAGCTCCAGCCTTTTTAAGAGTTGATCCAAGGTGCTCTAAGTGTGAGGGACAGGAACAAGAGAGGTGATGACCATCTCCATGCCAGCCTGTTCTGGCTTGGCCTCTTGTCTCAGCAAAAGTTTCTTTTCTTTTCTTTTCTTTTCTTTTCTTTTCTTTTCTTTTTTTTTTTTTTTTTTTGAGACAGGATCTTGCTCTGTCACCCAGGCTGGAGTGCAGTGGCCCAATCTCAGCTCGATGCAGCCTCCACCTCCTGGGTTCAGAATCCTCCTGGCAGGATTCTCCTGCCTCAGCCTCCCAAGTAGCTGGGATTACAGGTGTGTACCACCACACTTGGGTAATTTTTGTATTTCTAGTAGAGATGGGGTTTCACCATGTTGGCCAGGCTGGTCTCAAACTCCTGACCTCAAGTGATCTGCCCACCTTGGCCTCCCGAAGTGCTAGGATTACAGGCGTGAGCCCAGACCCAGCATCAGTATTAATTGTGATCCTTCCACTTACAAAAAAAAAATCTACAACCAGACAGTAAGGTATTTGATCTCCCTAGCAATAACTCCATTCAGAAACAGAGGCCTCACAGAAAGCTGCATGCAATTTCAGCTAAACCACTCCCAAACCACATCTGATGACGTGTGTCCTTCAAGTGGGATCAGTTGCTGTCACTGCTACAAAGAGTTTCTGAAGCCTCGGCCCAGGTCAGTGGGTTCTGAAATCCGGACAATCACGCCCAGGAGACGTTTTCTCACCTCCCAGGGCAGGACAGAGACCGCAACTGAGTCTGAGACCCAGCAATGCAGCCGGCGTGGGGCATCAGGTAGAGAAGCACGGAGCTGGCACAGGGGGTCCCCGCTGGGTGTGGACCCCAGCTGGGCCTCCCAGCACGTGGTTGAGCTGGGGAAGCTGCTGGGCCTCCCTGAGACTCCGTTTCTACACCAGTGAAAGGGGTCAGATGAAATCTGAGAGGGCCTCTGTGGAAGTTAAATCAAACATGTAGAGCCTGCCGACCTGCCCGGTCCCTCATGTTAGATGAGCTCCCAGGACTTTACAGACAGACACTGTCATCCTTCTCGCCTTATCTTAAAAATACATACATACATATAAAAACAAACAAAAAACACAAACAAACAAACAGACAAAACAGCTGGATAGAGCAAGGTCTCAAAACAAAACAAAATCAACCATGAAACCAGGGCAAATAGGCCCTCCCGTCGCAGCTGAGATTCCCACTGCCAGGGCACCCACCTGAGAGCACAGGCCCCCAGCCCTCTGCAGACGCACTCGTCTGCCGGTCGCCTCTCGGGGACCCAGGCGTGCAGGCACCCCTACTCTTTTAGCTCACGCTGTCAACTGGCTCTCCCGCAGACAACCCCAAATCACCCGACCCCAAACCTTTCAGGCCTGAAACTGTTTCCACAGTGGCCAGAAGAGTTATTTTTCAGTGAAAATTTCTAATAACTTAGAAAAGGTAAAAATGGTAAAAGAAGTTAAAAACAAGAAGTCACCATGACGGCACCCAGAGTGAAAGGCTTTCCTGGAGAACTCGGACGCTCCTCAAGTTCAAAGCCAAACCACCAGCAGCAGCGGCAGCAAGGTTTACAATCCTAAACCATGCAGGCTTCCGGCGTAATCTCTCCTGTACTTCGCCACCACTACAGCCTCACCGCTGGACAGCTCGGCCGCACACACACACCACACACACCACACACATCACACACTCACAGACACACCACACACTCACACACTCACACACACACCACACATCACACACTCACAGACACACCACACACTCACACACTCACCACACACCGCACACACACACACACACACACCACACACCGTACACACACCACACACCACACACACACTCACACACTCACACACACCACACACCGCACACACACACCACACACCACACACACTCACACACCACACACCACACACACTCACACACCACACACCACACACACTCACACACCACACACCACACACACTCACACACCACACACATCACACACAGACACACCACACACACACTGCACACACACACCACACACCACACACATCACACACACACCACAAACATTACACTCATACCACACACATCACACACACATCACACACACCGCACACACGCACACACTACACACATTCCCACACACTCATACACCACACACACCCTCACACACACACCACAAACACACCACACACACACCACATCAGTCACACACCACACACACACAAACACCACACACACGCACACACTACACACACACCACACACTCATACACCACGCTCACACACCCCCACACACACCACACATATCATGCATTCACACACCACACACAAGCACACACATGCACACACACTACACACACACCACACACTCATACACCACACACACGACACATACCACACACACCACACATTCACACACTACACACTCATACACTATGCTCACATACACCATGCAAACACCACACACACCACACACCACACTCAGACACCACACATTCACACAAAGCACACACACCACGCTCACACACAACACACCACACACACCACACACTACACACAATTACACACACTACTCACACACACCACACACACACCACACACACACACCACACACATCACCCTCACACCACACACAAAACACCCTCACACACTCACACATCACTCTCACACACACCATACACACATTACATACACAGCACACACACACCACACCCTCACACCACATCCCAGTCAC
The DNA here is from genome assembly GCF_000001405.40 of Homo sapiens. Taxonomy (NCBI): domain Eukaryota; kingdom Metazoa; phylum Chordata; class Mammalia; order Primates; family Hominidae; genus Homo; species Homo sapiens. The sequence goes on from NW_025791776.1 coordinate 150,426, forward strand.
ACACCACACACTCACACACTAACACCACATACACGCACACACATATCACACACTCATACACCACGCTCACACACCCCACACACACACCACACATATCACACATTCACACATCACACAAGCACACACATGCACACACACCACACACTCATACACCATACTCACACCCCACACACACCACACACACATCACACATTCACACACGACACACTCATACACTATGCTCACACACACCATGCAAACACCACACACTACACACACTACACTCACACACACACCACACCACACTCACACCATACATACATACACACCACACACCACACTCACACATCACATGCACACACACCACGCTCGCACACACACACCACACAGTGCAGAGCAGGATGCTTCCTGCAAACATGGAAGCTTCGCGGTTCCCAGTCCTTCCAGCTCCTGGGGATCTAAACTTGGTTTTTGCTTGAAATTTCGCCAGATTAAAAAAAGAGGAAGAGAGAGTTTAATGGGTTCAAGGAAGAAAGGGAGGCGCGGATGCGAGCATCCCAGTGGAAGGCAGACCGATCCCGTGCCGGGGGCACTCCGGGGTCCGCAGAGGGGGTGCCCTGTCCCTGAGCCCCGACAGCCCGCGCTGGGCGCGCTTTTCCGCAGCCTTCAGAAAGGAGTCACCAGGCAGCGCTCCGCGGGCCCCTCCTCCCGGGACCCCTCTTGGGAACCCGGAGGCCCTCGGCGCGGCAGGCGCAAGGGGAGCGGGGTCGGCGAGGAGGGGTGAACTGGCGAAACAAAGTCGTGACTCAGGGGGCTTCTCTTCGGGGATCGCGGCGGGCACGCTCCGGGCATCCCACTCCCCGGCCCCGATTCTTGGATCGGTCCTCAAGAAAGCGGCCCCCGCGGGCCCCGAGCTGTGCGGAAAGGCCAGGCTCCTTCCGACCCGAAGGCATCTATAGGCTGCCTCCCAACCTTACCCAGATCGCGCTAACGGGGTTAAGTGGGGTCTGAGGCTCGGGCTGGGGGCCGCGGCGACCTGAGATCAGGGCAGGAGGGCCCCGTGCCTGAGACCCCCGGCGAGAGCGCCAGGCTCACCCCCAGCGCCCCGCCCCCGCCCGGCTTCCCCGGCCTGGCCTGCGCCCCCAGCAGCCCCCAGCCCGGCCGGCCCGGCGCGCACCGCGGTCTCCCCCAAGCGGCCGCGCGCGTGTCGCCGCGGGAGCGGGCGGCGGGGGCGGCTCGGCGCAGGCAAGCCGGCGGCTCCGCCCCGCGCCCCGCCTCCCGGCCAGCAGGGCCGCCCCCTACGCGCCTAGCTCGGCTCAGACGGAGCAGCCGCCTCTGCAATGTCAGCAGCCGCAGCGGCGGCGGCGACGCGAGCGGCAGCAGCCCGGGCCCCGCGGTAGCCGCCAGCGCGGCACGGCCAGCAGGAGCGCCAGGCGCGAGCCCGCGGCCACTCGCTGCCTCCGGGGCACTGCGAGAGGCTTTGCGCTCCCCAGCGCGGCGTTCGGACTCGGGGCCAGCGCGGCCACGGCCGCGCACAAAGGACAGCAGACGCCGGGACTCGGGGGCTGTGCCCAGGGACCGGCCCGGGGACCCCCGCCCGCGCCGCGTCCCCTCCACGCCTCCCCTCCCCGGGCGGCCGGAGCGCGAGCCGGAGCGGGCCCCGTCATATGACAGCGGCGACGCCGCAGCCGGCGAGCGCGCGTGCTGCCTGCTCCGCTGCGCCACGGCCGCCGGCGCCTGGGGTGGCCCTTGCCTCGCCCCGCTGAGCGGTCGCCCGTCGCCGCCGCCCCGCGCCCCCCGCGCCCGGGCTTGCGGGCTCCGGGGGAGGAGCCGAGGGGAGCCCCCAGCCGGCGCCGAGCCTAAAATGGCCACTCTGCTGCGGAAGATCGGGCTCATCCGCCTGCATAACCGGGACACCGAGGACCCCAAGCACCACCACAACCACCGCGGCGGCGGCCAGCAGAGCGCGTCTCTGCGCGGCAAGGGCGGCGCCAAGAGCGGCGGCCACAAGCAACAGCAGCAGCTGCAGCAGCAGCAGCAGCACCCCGGGGGCGCGGGCGACGCCAGCCCGGGACCCGGCAAGGGAAAGGGCAAGCGCGCGGCGGAGCTGGCCCCGCGCGACAAGGCGCCGGCGGCTGCGGCGGCGGCGGCGGCGGCTGCGGCGGGGGCCGGGGGCCCCCGCGAGAGGGCAGCGGGCGCCAGGGCGGGGCCGGGCCCGGCGGTGGCGGCGGCGGCGGGCGGCAGCCTGGTCCCCGCGGCGCGCCAGCAACACTGCACGCAGGTGCGCAGCCGGCGGCTCATGAAGGAGCTGCAGGACATCGCGCGCCTTAGCGACCGCTTCATCTCCGTGGAGCTGGTGGACGAGAGCCTGTTCGACTGGAACGTGAAGCTGCACCAGGTGGACAAGGACTCGGTGCTGTGGCAGGACATGAAGGAGACCAACACCGAGTTCATCCTGCTCAACCTCACCTTCCCCGACAACTTCCCCTTCTCGCCGCCCTTCATGCGGGTGCTCAGCCCGCGCCTGGAGAACGGCTACGTGCTGGACGGCGGCGCCATCTGCATGGAGCTGCTCACGCCGCGCGGCTGGTCCAGCGCCTACACCGTGGAGGCCGTCATGCGCCAGTTCGCAGCCAGCCTGGTCAAGGGCCAGGTAAGGCGAGCGCGCCGGGGCTGGGGGCGCGGGGCCGAGATCGGGTCTGCAGCGCCGCCGGGCGCCCGGGCCCCGTGGTGAGGGCCAGCGCCGGCCCCTCCGGCCATCTCGCTCCCTGCTCTGACTACACCAGCGCCCCACGGGGATGCTCCGAGCGCCTCCACCTCTTTTCCCTGAGCGTTTTCTTCCTGCCCCTGCTTTCCGTCCCGTCTCTCCCGTCCCCGTCTGGTCTCAGTCTCTGCCCGTCTCTCTGGTATCGGTCTCTGCCGTCTCTCTGGTCTCTCTAGCTTGCTCATTCTCTCCTCATCCCTTCATAGTTCTCTTCCATCCCTCTTCCTTAGCCTCCCTCTCCCATACCCTCCTCTCCCTTTCCTCCTGGACTCTTTCTCCTCTCACCCCTTTCTCTGTCCCCCCATCTATTCCCACCCCCGTTCCTTTTTCATTTTTTCCTTCTCCACCCTCCCTGGCTCCCCTACTCTTCTTTCCCCTCCGTCTCACCTTTTCTCGCCCCTCTCTTGTCTGCTCCTCAATCTCCTGTCCCTATAATCTCTATGAAGGTGAGAACTTTTTCTGGACCTCAGGATTTAAGTGTCCAACCTAGCTGATCTCCCACCTCCCCAACCCCCCCCACACACACACACACAAGGCTCCTCCGCAGGGGACTCGGGTGGGAGATCTGCAGGTGGGTGCCGTGGGGAGGGACAGCTGCCTGCTTGTAAATCCGCCCCCTGCCTTCTTCTGGGCTGCCTCTCCTGGAAAGGTGGAAATTTTGCTCTTGGGAACTCACTCTAGAGAGGCGGCGGTGTGGTTTGGGCATTCCCTTAAGAGACAAGACCAGACCCCCCCCCCCCACGGCAATGCCTGTTTTCCCCTCAGAGCACCCCCTTCCTTCCCCGAACCCCTTAGGACCACCACCTCTGGGGTAGACGTTCCAGGTCTTGGTCTCTTTCAGACCTGCTTCTTTTTCTTCATCCCCTTACCTCACTGCCCCAAGCAGTTAAATCCTTTATCAGGGCTAAAGATTTTAACGAAATACGAAACGAAGGGCCAAACAGTTCTCCTGAGCCTTCTCACCTATTGCATCAGATGGCAGCTTTACGCAAAGAAACCCCAAAGTACTTGAGAGCAGGGTGAGTGCGTGATGGTGTTATCTGCTCGAATTATATGCTGTCGACTGCGGTTGAGTTCTCTGGTGTTTTCCTGAATCAATATTAAGCATTACTTAAGAAAATTACATTGCTGTGTGGGCATCTTTTAGATTTATGAAAAAATCATCGTTTTCTTTAAAAGACCCCAAATGACCTCGGCTTGATCTTTCTACAGGCGGCCTATCAGAAGCCATCACTTCTTCCCTGCCTGGCACTTTCACTGCAGGCTCTTTCACACTAATCAAATAATGCTTGTTCTGCCAATTTCACTAAAGCTGGAACCCCTGGGATTCCAAACAAATAGCATCCTAACTCCAGCAGAGAAGGTCAGGTAATTCCTGACCCATCCTGCCAGTCCTTCTTTTCTAAGGTTTAGGTTCCACACATTTCCCGAGTTAGAAATAGCATAGGTGTAACAACTCTAGAAAAACATCTTCAGCTGAGGGAGGCTTAGTGCTTTAATATCAGAGGTTTATTTTCCATCCTGCAGTTACATGTTGAGTCTGATGAAAGGTTCATGTGATAGAATGCAAGCATGGGGGGTAGGGGATCTCAGTTTTATTTTTCAAACAGGATTTATACAAATGAAGTGGAAGAATTCTTTGCAGAAATGCCTTGGTTATTTGCTTCTTGAATCATTGCTAATCAGAATTCTTTGGAACAGTCTGTTATTGTTTTTCATTCTTCGCAATGAAGATGACATTGGGGATCAGGGGAAGAGGAATGTGTATTCCCTTCTGGGATCACAGAGTCCTAACATTTTAGACTTGGAAGAGATCTTAGAGATGAACTGGACCACTGCCTATATTTTGAAAGATGCGAGAAAACAAAGGTTTGAAATGAGAAATGGGGATTTTTTTTTTTAAGAGAGAGAGGGACCTCAGGAAATTAAATGTTTCCTATTTCTACATTAATGCTGTGTATAATAATAATTCCTTTGGTGCCCATATGCCAAGCGGCAATATAGCAATGGGCAATATATAAAATACACGGGTCCTTGTAAGTATATTTTCTTTTCTCTGTATTTAAAATTGAGATTCTAACATACAGTTTGCAAGTGAGAGATTTCTTTATTGAAAGTAATTATCAACTTTTTCATTTCTTACTTTGATAAAATCCTAACTGAACCCATTGCCCTCCACCTAGCATGTCATGTTATGTTGTCTATTCCACATCTAAATAGAGGCAAAATCTCAGCACTTTTTAAAGTGCAAGTTCAATTTCTTTGCATTTTTTCATGCTGCTTCCAACATACAGCTGTCTAAGAGAGGGTAATGTGTGGCATACATAAAATATTCAAAATGCAATGAAAGAAAGGAAGAAATGAATAGTCATTAATGTTTTAGGATTCTGTGCACAAAAGGATTCTGATGGTGTTTCAGGTAACCTGAGGTTGATTGTCTCTTTATGTACTTTTGCAAATTCACTACCTACTGGTTGTTCAGAGCACATATGGTAGTTACCAAATTATTTCCTCAGTTAGAGGTAATATGCTTTGGGAAAGCAATCAAAATACCTGATTAGGTATTCAAGGAGAACTGGGACAGCTACCAAACCGATAATTACTTTAAAAGGGAGAGTCGTTATATTCTAGTTATGTTCTGATACTTCTCGGGATTTCTTTTTTAGGATGCATTTTCATAAGCTGCAGAGTTAGAAAAGGCTGGTTTGCTTCTTTTATAGAGGAAAACATTCACTGCTCAGCTGAACTTTGTGAATTGAGGATACGCTGTTTCTATACTTCTAGAGAAATTGTAAAACAATTTTAAGAGTTTTGTGTGTAACATAAAAATATCTGCTTAACAGTTTTGTGTACAATAAAAAGCTTAGGTTTATCACATCATATGATAAATTCAGTCATTTCGTGAGGCTTTTAAGAGACTCTCTGGCCTGTGTTACCAAAATCTCTTGCATGTTGCTGTCTGAATTCTGGTTGTCTTAAATTAAATTAATATATAAATTTCCTCTATGATATATTCTATGTAGAAATAATGATATACATATCTTCCCCCTTTGTCTATTACTAAACCCTCTTTTGACTAGAGGCATTTTTAGGTAACTCTTAGTTTTTTATAATTGGATTTTAAAACTCTGTACTTTTAGAATGAACTGGTGAAAATGTTAAAAGTATACTTTTAGATAATTATTTGCATCCTTTATTAGTTACTGAACCAAAAGAATACAACCCACAGCTCCAGTGTAAGATTTTTGCCTTTCAAAAGCTGGAAGATGTTGGTTTTGAAATGAAAGTAGCCTGTAATCCCAGCACAGTGCTTGCACCTAGTAGGTAGCTTAACCTACAAAAACTGCATTTTCGGACTCTGTAAACCTAGACAAAGTAGCATCAGCATTGGGGAATGCTGGCCATGAAGAGTGCCAGAGTTTACTGGCTTCCACTCCAGGCTTGGAGCGTGGGACGATGGCGTGACTGGCCAGGGACCTTGTTCTGTCAGTTGTGTGTGCAGCAGCAGGGTCCCCAAAAGCTGCTTGATGGTGCACTGACTCAGAGCCCTGCTTTCACTGTGGCTCACCTCCTGAGTGTCCCCTTTTTAGTTAATTAGGCATCGCCAGGGGCAGGGAACCAAATGGCAATTGAGTGACAATTCCTCACTCCTCTCCTGGCCCCTCAGAGCCAACCATACAATTCGGCATGCACACAGTGTTGGTAATAATAACTGCAGCAGCAGCAGCAGCAGGAAGCATTTCCTACTTGCTTGTGCCAAACTCTGGGCCAGCAGAGAACATAGGATGTTTGAGGATGTTTGAATCTCCCTGGTTCTGCTCTTTTGATGGTCGTTGTACAGGTGAGGAAACTGTAGTTTCACAGAGTCAGGTGGAGTTTATACAGCCACATGCTCTCATAACAGCTCATGAGTGGCAAGGCTCTGAAATTTCATCAGCATGAGTAAAAGCTGTTGGAAATGGCAGTCGGGCCAGGTGCCATCCAAGCACCTTGCTGTTTCCAGGCAGTCGTTTATTAACTGTGACCATTGTGATAATCCTTTCTATCCACAGAGAAGAGCTGCTCAGCCAGCCATCCGCAAAAGATTCACAGAACATCAGGACTAAAGCATCCTTGAGTCTTAACTGTTTGAATTTAAAATTGGAAAGCAATTTCAGGACAAGTTCTGTTTGCCTGACAGTTTCTGGATGTTTTTTAATAAAGGAAACTTGTCTAAGTGTAAGGAAACAGTAAAGGGCTCTGCAGCTCAGCTTTGTGAAATGATATGCAGTGATGTCACTAAAATCCACCTTAGGTCTGAGAGGGGGCCACACCATGGTGTCACTGGGAAGCACAAGTGCACACACATGTGCACACACACACACACACACACACAGAGACATACATAAAGCCCATCTTCCAAAATACTAGGCCTAGAAATAGCACTTTACTTATGACTGTAAAACCAGCAGTCTCATCAGAAAGAGTGACAAAGATGAACAGCCTGTTGGGCTCCTAAAATCTGTGGGCTTCTAACCGGCTATAACACAGAGATTTTTTTTGAGACAGGGTCCCCTCTATCACCCAGGCTGGAGTGCAGTGGCATGATCATTGTTCACTGTAATCTTTAATTCCTGGGCTCAAGCAATCCTCCCATCTCAGCCTCCCAAGTAGTTGGGACTACAGGTGCACACCACTTTGCCCAGCTAATTTTGTTTATTTTTTGTAGAGATAGGGGTCTCACTATGTTGCCCAGCTGGTCTCAAATTCCTGGGCTCAAGCAGTCCTCCCACCTCGGCCTCCCAGAGTATTGGGATTACAGGTGTGAGCCACCTCACCCAGCCATACAACACACAAAATGTTTAAAGGCCCTGTATTAGGTTGCTGGGGCTGCCATAACAGAGGACCTGGAAGTCCAAGATCAAGGTGTCAGCAGGGCTCATTTCTCCTGAGTCCTGCCTGCTTGGCTTGTAGATGCTGTGTCCTCCCTGTGTCCTCACATGACCTTCCTTCTGTGTGTGTCTGTGTCCTAATCTCCTCTTCGTGTAAGAACACAGTCAGATTGGATTAGGGCCCATCCTCCTGACCTGACTTTAACTTAATTACCTCTTAAAAACCCTGTCTCCAAATAAGGTCACCCTCTGAGGTGCTGTGGGTTAGGGGTTCACCATGTACCTTGGTGAAGGGAGGAGAAACAATTCAGCCCATAACACAACCAAACAGGCATTTCTTAACCAGTTGCTCATCTTGTTTCTGCAACTGCTGTGCTAGTTTGAAAAGCAGTAGATGAAGCCACACGGAGGGAGGCACTGGATGGAGAATGTTGCCCGCAGCTTTGAGCAGAGAGATGGCTGCACACCCGGAGGGAAGCTAGAACAACCTAGAGCAAAAATAGTGACTGGCAGGGGTGGGTAACGCCATCTGATTCGTCCAGGGAGACGTGGATTTTTGGTAGCGTGCTTATGAGTCACTGTGTTGTGTCCTGCACTGTGTACAGGGCACGGAGATTATTGCCACCACCGATGACTGTGCAGCTTGAGGTATCGATACACTGGACTGTTCAGAGGAAAAAATAGCTACTTGTTCTTCTATCAAGTAGGGCAGGCAGGAGGACACAGGCAGGACTGCATCCTAAAAATAGCCCCACACCCGCTTGGAGAGCTCCAGCAGCTCAGCCCGGGGTGCATGGGGCAGCTCCTGGTAGAAGCTACTTTTACTTCACCATGAGACTTTGAGAATCTGAACTTGCAGGAAGAGGGTTGTAGTGTATTTTTGTATACTTTTCTGATTTCCCTTAAGCGATGGGGGAGATTGGGTTTTCTCTGTAAGGACAGTGTAGGTTCATGGCTGTTTCTTAGTGGAATGTGCCCATGTGGACACTAAGCTGAAGTCTGAATGAAGGCCTGACACCCACAACCTGGTCAGTGTCTCCCTTCTCATCGTCAGGAAGAGACTCGTCCACACCCAGGTTTAGAAGGAAGGCAGCCTCACTAGTACCATGTCAGAGGCAGATAAGACACCAGCAGAAATGGCTTTTATAGTTCAGGAAACAAAACAGACACTTGTGGCAGGGATTTTGAGCCCCACTTTGGAGCTCCTAGAATCAGAGGTTGTTGCTGCCCTAGATGTGTTGATGTAGTCGGGAGGGGAGAGGACGGCTGGCCACAAGTGTTAGTCCTTTCTTCTCTGCCAGTGGTTCCCAACCCTGGCAGCACATTAGATGCCCTGAGGAGTGTGCAGATTATTTCAGTACCAGGGCTGTCCCCTCAAAGACTCAGACTTTGTGGTCTAGGATCAGGCCCTGACAGAGGCTGGTCCAAAGAGCTCCTCATGATTCTAATGGGCAGCCCGGGTTGGAAAAGCTGCCTGACGCTGGCCATGGTCCACCTCCTCCCTCCCCACCCATCTGGCAGACACAGCCTCACCCACCAGTAACCACAGCCCAGAGCTTCAGAAGTGGTGATAATTAATCCCCCCAACCTCCCCACCCCACCTGGCTCACACTCCCTGTCCTAGGTCAACCCTGACTCAGCGCCTTCAAAGCCCGACTTCTGTAGAGATGCCATCCTAAAGCCAGCCTTCCTCCCTGGACTGCTTATGTAGACTACGAGGGAGTGTAAACCCTGAAAAAGAAAATGTAGGGATGATTCCCTCCACCCTCGATGAGACGCAGCTGCGGAGGGTGGTGTGAGCAGACCCTCCAGAGCCGTGGCTGACAAATTAATACAGCACGGGAATCGAGTGCCTCCCGTCATGCAGGAACTTCCTAGGCATCATTGGGGGATCAGATACACATCAAGTGCCTGCCACAGGGAACGTACCCTCTAATGGGGAGAAGACAAAACCCTTCACATTTGCTTTTGACCTGCCAAGTGGCTTCACAAGTATCTTTTTGTTAATATTTAGGAAATATCCATGGATCTGACAATAGACAGTGGCCTGGGTATATAGTGGGGACATGGGCACAGTGGGGTCCTGGGATCAGCAGGGTCTTCAGAAATTCCAAGTGATGTTCTTAGAGGAAACACTCTACTTAAGGGTGATTGAGACTCGACATTAACATGGGGCATTAGTCACTCAGTGTTTTTTGGAATACGGTTTCATTGCTGATAAATGGAAAGGCCAGGCATGCCCCCACACTGACCAAGAAGTTGTAGTAATGGCAGAAATGTTTCCAGTAATGTCTACACTTTCCTACTCAGTAAGTCGGCAAGCTAAGCTAAGGTTTAATTGTTCAGTTATTTTCTCATTGTTACACACATCATTCATTCATTCACTGAGCACTGTAGTGACGTTGCCCTTGGCATTCCCATGACGACCCTTCCCCATTCTGCGTAACGTCTGCGACCCTCCCCTGGTCCTCTCCCTGGCCTGCTAATCCCACAAGGCTGGGAGGAAACCAGCTGAGTGGGAGGACCAAGGACACCGGACTGGGAGAGCAGATTTGGGACCAATCAGGTGGCAGAGGATTGTGAGATGAGGGCAGGTGTGTCTGCAGAAGCCAGAAGAAGCTGCCCGACCTTGCCCCTTACCTGGCCAGCAGGGCTGGGCATGGTCAGGGAGCCACACTCACCGAGCCTCTTCTATTCCTATTCTTCAGTGCTAGGCTCTCCTCTCCCGCTCTCTTCCTCTCCAGCCCTGTGCTCCTGCCTCGTGGGTGCCTGTCCTCTGCTTGGATTCCTGCAGTGCCCCCATCCAGTCTCTCTGTCCCTGTCCATCCTCCCTGATGCCACCTGCATGGCTCCTCTAAAATGCAGACCTAGCTTTATCACATCTGGTTATGAACCTTATGAAATAGAGCTCAAGTTTCCCAGCACTGTACAGCCATGATGGCATTCCTGCATCCGCCACAGCCCCCACTGAGGCTCCTCTTCCACCAGCCCCTTCTGCCTGGAAGCCCCTCTTGCCCATCTTCACCAGGTGAGTCCCTGGCCATCCTTAAAAACCCTGCCCAGATGCCCCAACTTCTCTGCAAACAGCTCCTCAACCACTCCTTCAATAAAAGCGATGACTTCCTCCTCTGAACTGCAGAGGAGGAAGCTCGGCATTGTTTAGAAAAAGTTCATTTCTGTGCTTATCCTGCCAGTTTACATAATTACAACTGTATTGCCCCTTCTCTTTGCTAAATGTCCAACACTTTGTTTGTGCCAAATAGATGTTTGCCACAAGATCTGTTTCCCTGAGCAGACTCCCCATCCTCTTCATTTTGCCCCTTCTTGCGATGCAACGTAAGTGCTTACTGTGGGTCAGCTGCTGTGCAGAATGCTTAATGTGAATGATTTGATTAAATCCTTGTAGCAGCCTAAGAGGTAGGTGCTGTTGTTATTCCCATTTTACAGAGGAAGAAACTGAGGCTTGCTGAGGTTGAATCATGCACAGAGCTGAGCTGCCACCAGGCAACCAGTCCAGTGCCAGAGCCACCTGGTCCTGAGGAGGTGTCTAGTTGGCAAGTACCACGTGTAGCATTATTGTTCCTCATGGCACATATGGATGTTAGGAATGCCTCTGCAGTTCCATGGTGCATGGTTTTCCTACAATACTCAGAATCAATCCACGAGAGGACGGATGGTGCATCCATCAAGTCTGACACATGGTACGGAATTATCAGCAACGTTGGACAAATATATTGGCCCAGATTCATCATAAGCTCCTTGTATTGATTGAGCAAAATCGATGAATGTGTTAATTGCTTCAAACCGTAGGAGAAAGATAATTATTACAGCTTTATTTATTTTGTATATGAAAGGGAAAGGCATTTTAGAGATTCTGAAAATAACTCAAGAAAGAAGTGCTTTTTGAACATAATTGTTACATTGGTAAAATCACTCAGATTGAAGGAATGTCTACCTTAAAATAATTTCTCTAAAATAAATACTAATTCTTCATCACAGTATTTGGCAGGCATTCTCGAGGTGTTTGACTGAGTTCTTTGATGAAGGAGCTAAGGAAATACTGTCTGGTAAAGGATCAGTTACACGTAAAGTTGAATTGTCCTCAGCTCACTTGGAAATTGAAGGGAAAATTTCCAGAAAAATATTTGAAGGGTAATTCTCATTTTTTGATCTTGAAGATCAGACATTTGCAAATATCAGAATATGGAGTTACAGAACTTATTACATTTTGGTTCTAATAAAAAGCTGTGATTAATATTTTATGAATTTGGACATTTTGTGCACAAAATTATTAAACCAATTATTTTTGCCTTACGGATCAATATGTATGTATTAGGGTGATTACTTAGTGTCAGATTGGGTGCCCATATTGCTTCCCGTAAGATGTCTGTCAGGAATTGGATATAACTATACCAAGTAAAGATCAATTGCTGCTAGGATTAATTTGTGCTGGAGTCCCTCATGATTAGTGACATATGCTACTCAACTCTGCTTCTCAGCCAAGGAAAAATAAAAATACCATAGTGGAAACTTCACCAGAATTGAGTGAGTTACAAGCTTAAATTAACTGTAACTAGTTGAGTATTAGAAGCCTTTAAAATGTAACTTTTTAAGAGTCATCAAAATACTAAATGAATCATAATGTATTTAACCTGGCTTTGTGCAAGGAGGCTGTTCTTTATCAGAGCCCTCTCCTGCAGCGCACATGTGCCTGCGTCTGACAGCACCTCTCGGGTGGGAGCCTTCCTCCTCCAGGTTGGGTGGGAGAGAAGAGCACAGCAAAGCCAGGGGCCTTGTCCACAGTAGCGGGTTAGGATCCTCCAGGGGAAGTGCCTTCATCCAATGTGAACAATGCCTAAAACTAATGCAGGAGAGCTGCAGAGACTGGTGGCTGTGACCCCACCCCTCCAGAGCCCTGCTGACTTCCTTTGATCTCTTTCATAATGTACCCTATGAAACATCATTATCTTAGAGAACTCATACAAGACTGCTACTCTAACTATAAAGATAAAAATTTCACAACACTTAAAGGACATTACCGTAAGTCACAAATAAAACTGATCTAATAAAAAGTGAGTTGGAACTGAATTGAATTAAAGTGCTTATTTTATTAGTAATTTCATTTAAGAGGGTATCCTGGCATCTGCCTTTTCATAAGAGAGATAGAGGGCTCTTGGTTATTCTTGATGATCGGTCAAAGAGAAACAGGTGACCAACCACAGGAGTCCCTTCCTGCTGCCCCAAACCCCTCGAAGCCACCTGGAGGACTGCATGGCCTCGAGGTGTCTGGGGACACCTGCAGACTCCTCCCCAGAATAACGTCTTTCGTTGCACAAAACAAAATGCATAGGATTTCAAAGGAAGCCAATTATATTTAAATACAGTTATCAGAACATGTTTTTAAAACATGATGAACTAAAATAAATTAAAAAGCACTTTATTAACACATTAAATATTAAGATCTAGAGGCAGGTCTAACACTCTCCTAATCTGACAATAATGAATATCAATGACATTTCAAAATATCTACAACAATATCACAACTGTAATGCGATTTTAAAACATTTGCCTATTGGTGACAAAGCCAAGGCATTGCTAATACTGCTGTGGTTTCTTTCAATCCTAATTATAGGAAGTGCTGAATTGCAGTTCAAAGTTAGTGAAAATGGAGACATTTTTCCCATCCAAATATATATACCCGGAGGAGTGCATGGGCCCCAGGTTAAGAACTCGAGGTAGTGTGTGGCTCTAGGTGGTGATGGCTGTCTTGCGAAAGATCCTAAACCTTATTCTGCAGCTCAGGGCCAGAGCAACTGGGATCAAGATTTAGGAGCCCAACAGGTGTCTCAGTTCTCTGGTGTTATTGGTGGGTGGGGCTGGGATAAAGCTGGAGATCTGCAGGCAGAGGCAAGGCTCCAGCGCCTTACCCCTTCTGAGTGTGGCTCACTCCTGGGCAGGCACCCACCTCCCTGAGCATCAGATGCCTCCCCTAAAGGCAAGGAGCATAAACCCAACTGCTCACATGAATCATGAGGATCAAAGGAAATGATGACACGTGTTCCTTGCATAGGTAAGGTGATCAATAGATGTTCCTGCTTCTAAAGAAGAAGGAGATTTATTGAATTAAATGCACAGAAATGTATGGCCAAGACACAGCAGCCTCCAATGCACACAGATATCTGCTTTCATAATGATGAGTGTTTCATGGCAATATTCACCTCCAGGTGCCTCGGGTGTTTCCGTCCATGACTGTGTTTTTACAGAGATTCACAGGAAACTCAGAAGAGCCTCCTTTTTGCCCTCATAAATCTACTGCTGTGGACGCTTGCTGTTGCCTTTGCTGACATGCCATCATCAAATGATTTTGCACCATCAGGGGCTGATTTATGGGATTATGTTATTGTTCCAGCACAGATTGATATCTGGGTTTTTTCACCTCTTTAACTTTGGTATCATAAGAATTCCATTACATTGGTAGCATCTTTAAATTAGCTTGATTTCTTTTGCTGGCGTTCAGTTAGAAAATTATGTAGAAGAATATTCTTATTTAAAACATTTACCTCTGTGCTCCCTAAATGCACATCAAAAGTCCTTGTTAGCCATTAAATGTTGTTGATATTCATTCTTTGTTACAGAATGCAATGCCCACTTGAAAACTTCTTGGCTACCATTTTGTTTCAAGGTGAAAAACCGGTTCATAAATCAAATTTTAAAATTTGTAAAAAGCTGTGGACCCCAGCAATTATCACAAGTCACACAGAATGAACATCAACTGTTTCAGTACAACTGAAAGAGAATTTCCCTGTAGTCAATTACATGGATCCTTTCTAATATTAATACTTTTACGAAAGATCCTTTCTTTAGTAGAATTTAAGAGAAACCTAGCTGAAATATTCGACCTGCAGGACTAGCCAAGTTTCTCAGAAACACCTGTGATATGACATATGGTCTTACTGCAATTGGAGGCTATTCAACAGTGGAATACCAATGCCTGCTTCACATTCTCTTAACTGGTCAGTCAACTGAGGCCTTGAGCATTGACCCAAAATCTAGGGTGAGGCTTTCTGCATTTGGGAAGAGACTGACCAGCTATCTCTAGGGTTCTCCCCCAATCTGAAGACTTAAGTGGGTAGACTCTGCATTCTCATGGGACAGAGTGTGGGATACAGCTAACTGATCCTCCAGGATTTCTACGCTGTTTTTATTGTATTCCCAGTGATTTTCCCATAGTTTAGAAATATTGAAATGTCCTCATCTGAGATGATTATAGGCAGAAAGCATCCTCCTATCCCCAGTGTTTTTCAGCACCCACCACCCCCCCCCGCCGGCATATCATTCTAGGAAGGAATATTATCCTTTATGTGGAAATGGAGCCTGCAATGATATCTAAATCAGTTCCTGGGCCTGGGTGGTGTTGCCATAACTACTGATCTAGGTTTGTAATATCAGCAAATAGAAACAGACCTGCCCTACAGTGCTCAGACCATTTGTTCATATTTATTTATGTCTCCTTTTTGCTCCTGTTAAACACATTATTTAGCTGTCACGTAATCTTTTAGTGAGATGATTCCGATCACCCTATCCTGAGAAAAATCTTAAAGGCCCTCCATCCCCACCTTGGCTCCAGTCACACACCGTTTAGAGGTCTCAGGTTCCCACTGGTTTCCCAGCTCCACCGAATGTCCCATTTGGATAAGCCGCAGGCTCTCAGCCCTCGGCGTCCCCAGCTTTGTTGGAAAGGTGAACACAGCAGGCTTTGCAGCAGCTGTTGGTCAGCACTTGACCTTATTGGCCATGATGAAGGCCAGTAGGCTGGACAAGCCCAAGCGAGGGTGATGGTCGTTTAACCTCTACAGGCCTTTCAGACCACCCCATGCTGTCTCTGTGGCCAGAAGATGCTCCGAGACTTCAGAACTGGGTCTTGGTCAGGACTCGACCAGAAAAGACAATCTCAACCTAGGACTCAAGACCCAGATGTGGGAGGAGGCGTATGAAAAAAGCAGCCAATGGGCTACCCTGAGAGTCAGGGACCTGGTATCAAGAAAGGAGGGGGATCTGCCGGCAGCTGCAGGGCCACCATTGAGGGTAAGGGCAAGAGCAAGGCAAGGCCCCCACCCCAGATTTGCATTCAGCTTTCCAGTGGACGGGGCATGCAAGCTTTCCCAGAAGCCCAGGCAACAGAGGGATCCTGGACTGAGGAGTGAGGCCAGTTCCTGTGTTCTCATGCTCCCGAGGGTGGCATGGCTGAAGCAGACCAGTGCTCCTCAAGGAGCTGCCAGGGCCCAGCTCCTCCTGCTCCTGCTTAGTGAGAATTGCCCGGGGGCATCTTCCCTGTGCTGCCTCATGTGGAAGCATCATCAAGGAGGAGTTGTCAAGTGCCAGGTATGAGAGGCCACTAACTGCCGGGCTTGACAGAACGACCTATTGGAGGGCTCAAGGAAGAAAAAGGCCACCCTCACTCAGCGTGCACTTAGGGCAGAATAAGCCTCACCCAAAATCCCTGTGGGACTTTCCCCATAGAATTCTATGGAAACTTCCATACATCACCATTAGATTAAGTTGCCCAGGGAGATTGAGGGAAATATAAGATTTCTGCTGCAGGAAAAGGAATCTGACATTTCCGGCTTCTGAACCAAGCGTGAAAGGCTGATTTGTAATTTGTTTGGTCTTAACAAAAATAATAGTGTGCAATTAACTAAGGCGTCAAGCACAGTTGGAGTGAACGATAAACGGAAGGCAGCATTTTCCATAAGTAAAAGCTTTCAGAGTGTGCATCTCTAAATCATCCACTTCTTCGCTACTGACTCTTTTCCTTTCTTTTGATGTTGTTATTTTCTTGACATAATTACAGCAAAGATTGGTACATTGCACCCAATCTTAATTGTATCTCCCTTCAGTCTCATTTATTTCATTGTTACCTGCTATTCCTTTAAATTAGTAAGTCATGATGTTTACAGATTGGTAGTATTCTTAAAAATATTTCAAATTGTGCTAGAAGGTTTCACCCTGAAATGGGGTGAGTACATTCTTTTATTTATTCTAGAGCTTGCAAACATATTTTAAGTGTATAATACAGTGATCCTAAAGAAAGGCTGGGGAAAGAATTTGAGTTTGGAGGATAGCAGTGAAAAGAGGGTCACATGAACAGGTGAAGAGGAGGCTGGCGTGTCCTTGGTGCAGGGCCTTGGGTAAGGAAGGTGCTAAGTAAGGAACAGGGTGGTGGCCTCACTTTTCTGCGTGGTGCAGACTGCAAACGCCCTTGATTTTTTGATCACCACCCCCTCCCCACATTCTGTGAGCAGCAGGACCGGGAGCGAGACCGTGGTCCGAAGTTCTCCCGAAACCCAGGTAGGCTTTGTATTTGTGCTGTTATTATTATTATTATTATTATTATTATTATTATTATTATTATTTTTGATGCGGAGTCTTGCTCTGTCGCCCAGGCTGGAGTGCAGTGGCGCGATCTCGGCTCACTGCAAGCTCCGCCTCCCGGGTTCACGCCGTTCTCCTGCCTCAGCCTCCCGAGTAGCTGGGACTACAGGCGCCCGCCACCATGCCTGGCTAATTTTTTGTATTTTTAGTAGAGACGGGGTTTCACCATGTTAGCCAAGATGATGTCGATCTCCTGACCTCATGATCCACCCGCCTCGGCCTCCCAGAGTGCTGGGATTACAGGCATGAGCCACCGCGCCCAGCCTGTGCTGTTATTTTGCACCAAATTTTTGTTTCAGATTATTCTAAGAGATTTTTTTTTTAATTTGAGACAGAGTTTCACTCTTTTTGCCCAGGCTGGAGTGCAATGGCGTGATCTCAGCTCACTGCATCCTCTGCCTCCCGGGTTCAAGTGATTCTCCTGTCTTCTAAGGGCTTTTTTAAAAACACAAACACAAATATTGAGAATTACGTAATTAAGTAGAATTGGGAAACAGGCCTAGCAAACAAGGTCAGTTGTAAACCAAGACCTCAGTGATGCTTTTGAGCTGTTGAGTGATGTTTTGAGCTACATTTGGCACCTGCTAACCACTCAGAGAAAATTATCTTCCCAATACATGAGTGTTTTAGGTCCTGCAGTAGGAACAATGAAACTACAAAAGATTTACAATCCCATATCAAAAAACAATTCCAAATTCAAGATGACAAGATGTCTCACAAGTCGAAAAGGAACGGGAAATAGCTCCCAGTGCATTCCCATAGAATCATAGCACATACCTTGTGGTTTTGTTTGTTCCTGTGTCTGATTAGGTTCTGAAGGTCTTTATCAGAAGTAGCTGATTTCCCTGCCTTGTAGTTGAGGGTTCTTGGCCCCTGCTAGCTGCACTTCTTAATTAGAGGAACTTGAACAGTTTCTGGAGGTTGGAAAGAAAAAACAAGGAGATGACTTACGGCGCTCAGAGCCAGTAACATGCTGGCAGCCAGCAGGCCTGAAAGGGGCAGCAGGGAGGGCCGTGTCTGCCTTCTCTGGGCTTCAATGGTGGGTGACACCGGGTGCCTCAGGTCACCCTCAGTAGAATTTTAAATGCCTTAATGACGTTTCAAAAATAGAGATTCATTTGGACTTAGAGTGCAGCTAATTTCTGCTCCGGGTATTTTAACCTCTTGCAGTCAACAGCATTCGTAGCTCTGCAGGGCCATCTGTGCTGGTCCCTTGATAAGAAGCTACAATTCAATGGATTACCAATAGCACCCTCATGTATGACTACAGAGGCACTGTCGCCAGGCTCAGGCACTTTTTAACTATAACTAGCATTTTAGTTTTTATTCTTTTTTTTTTTTTTTGAGACTGAGTCTCACTCTGCCAACCAGACTGGAGTGCAGTGCACAATCTCGGCTCATTGCAACCTCTGCCTCCTGGCTTTAAGCAATTTTCAAGCCTCAGCCTCCCGAGTATCTGGGACCACAGGTGTGCGCCACCATGCATGGCTAATTTTTGTATTTTTAGTAGAGATGGGGTTTCACCACATTGGCCAGGCTGGTCTCAAACTTTTGACCTCAGGTGATCTACCATCCTTAGCCTCCCAAAGTGCTGGGATAACAAGCATGAGCCACCACGCACAGTCAGCATTTTAGTTTTCTTAGACCTTTAAAAGCAACAACAAATATTTAGAATTACATAATTAAGCAGAGTTAGGAAACAGAGCTGGAAAACATTTAGTTTTCTTAAACTTTGTCTTAATGGATTGCAGAGCCAAGTGAAGTGGCAGACAGTAATGAGGCTGAGTCTAAATAGAAGTGAATATTTTAATTTCATAACAGAAAACTGGGAGATGAGCAAAAAGTAATTTTCTCCAAGACCCAATCTCAGGATCCAGTGGTTCTCAACCTCGGTTTCCACTCCCCAGTGCCTGGGGGTGGAGGGCGCTTTGCACCTCGTTTCAACAGGGACTCTTGGGGGGGCTCTGGGATGCTTCGGGTGCCCCTCTCCGCCCCCAGCAATTCAGACACAGCTGCTCTGTGTCCTGGAAAGGAAAGAGCCCTCCGGGATGACCCCTCGCTCACTTCCTGCGTGGGAATCGCTGCTGGAAATGGACCCTGATGGTCTAGGCTTCCGGAGGCCAGCTCCAGGGCGCAGCAGAAGAGCTGCTGCCTCACCTTAAACCTGCCTCCGTGAGGACGGAACCTGGACTCCTCGCCATTTCTGCATTTCCACGTTTGCTTTTTACCCCGCGCAAAGCGTTTCCACTTTCTCCTCTCAGTGTATTTGCTCCCTTCCTTCCCCCGACACCAGCCTGTCTCCCTCTGCTGCCCAGGGGCCCCAGGCGACCTCCCTCCCCTCACACTCCCCTTGCACCCTCTATCCTCCCTTCCTGCCCCTCCCTCTTCCTTCCCTCTGCCCCTGCCACCCTCCCAGGGCCCTGAGCAGTGCGGGGAGGCATGGAGAGGCTGAGGCCTCCCCACTGACTCGGCAGCCACGGCGATGCAGCGCCCAGCGTCTTCACGGTGGAACTAGCCACTTCTTCCCCTCCCTGTTTCCTCTTCCAAAAACTGGAACCAGGGTCACCTCCAGTCCTTGTCAGCACCAGGCAGCCATCATGGGGAGCGAACTGCTCAGCACTCAGGAAGTGTGAGCTGCTCACGAGCCCCTCACACCCCAAGGCCAGGTGTCCTGTTGGAGTCCCCCCAACCCATCTGCCTCCTCCCACAGCCTCTCCCCTTCCCCACCTGAGAGCAGGCCACCTGCAGCTGGCTGTGGCCCGTGGGCCTCCTGGGGGGCTGTGTCCTGTCTCCCAATCTGGGGCTGGACGCTCCCCCAGGTGGGGCTGGGCAGTGTGGCCCCTGGCGGGCAGCAACATGGGGCCTGCCGGACCAGCCCAGCCCTGCGCCTAGTAAGCGCTCAGCACCTATCGGAGAATGAGGTTGAGTTGATGTCCTTCAGGCACTGCTAGATCATGAACCATCAGAGAAAGACGAAGGGTGTGGAGTGCACCTTAACTGCAGTGTCAGGAAAGTGGACATTTTTAGCCACAAAGCCAGGGCCGTCAAAAGGCTTTCTGGTGATGCTGACTGCCAAAGGCATGTCACTCCGGCCCTACATACATCATGTGAATTATCTTTCTCTAAACACTGAATTTATTGGTCAGAGTGTTTTAGTACGTGAGAATAAGCTTTATGGGGTTTTGTTTGTAATCACGTGCCCTTGAAATGTCATCATACCATTCGCCAGAAAACACACCAGCAGGACGTTTGAGAGAGGTTTGTATTTTGAGTCAAGAGGCACTAAATGGAGGAGGCTGCTCACTGTTCTGGGCCTGGGACTGTCACCCGGCACATGAGGCTTTGCTGTTTATTTTGTTAAGTAACTTAATGTTAGGGGTGTCATTTAAATAACTTCTCTGTAAACATCTTTTCTTTTATTTCATTGTAGTCCTTCCCTGATTGAAGATTTCTATGCTACTGTGTAAATTCATTCTCTTCCCACAATCTCTCTGTCTCTCTCTGCCTCCCTCCCTCCCTGCTCTCTCTCCCTCCCTCTCCTCCCCTTTCCTCCTTCCATTCAGCTGTGACTTTTATTCTTGGAGCCTGCATTATCCTACATTATTTGAGAGCTGCTAAAACAAAGTCCCCACAGGCTGGGGGCTTCAACGACAGAAATGCATTCTCTCGCAGACTTCCTGGAGAGGGGAAGTCTGAGATCCAGGTGTGGGCAGGGCTGGATCCCGAGGCTGCTGCTTGGCTTGTAGACATCATCTTCTCCCTGGGTCCTCACAGGATCTGTCTCCTCTACGTGTGTCTGAATTTCCTCTTCCTAGAGGGACACCAGTCCTATTGGATTAGGCCCCAACCTGATTACCTCATTTTAAGGTAATTATCTCTATAAAGATTTCTATTTCCAAATACAGTCTCGTTCTGAGGTGCTGAGGGCTGGGACTTCAGCATAGGAATTTGAGAGGACACAGCTCAGCCCACAGGAGAGCCTTGCTTTCCAAGCACGTATGAGTTTGTTCATTTGTCTTCTTTCCTGCAGCTTTTGCCTCTCAGATGTCCTCCTGTTTGTCTTTGCCGGGGGTCTCTGCCCTGCGGGCCCCACCGCCCCAGCCTCTCCACCCGCGCCCCCCAGACTGTGTTCCTTCCCATCCCCCTTTGTTCCTGCAGCATCGACACATTCCTCCTCACAAACTTTAGGTTTTGCAGGTTTATCTGTTTTTCTTAGCTGTCCCAGAATTTTTTCTTTCTTCCTTTTTCAGATCACTGTATCGCCTTTATCTCTTACGCCTGACTTTTCCCTCCGCCTTCAGGATTCTTCCTGCCTTGTCTGCTGGGCCTCTCTCCTTGCTCTCATCCAGATCAATGAACAGGGACTCGATCCATCTTCTTTGGCACTTTTCCCATTTCCCTGTGATCCCTGGATGACACTATTTTTTGTCTCACTTTACCTTTCACCGTCTCTATAAACCTCCCCCGTCCCTGTTCTCATGCTGCTCCTCTGCATGTGTCCAAGGTTAACAGTGTTCCTTTCTCTCCTTCCTTTCCAGCCACTGCTGTCTTGAAAATGCCTTGTCCTGGTTGAGCGAGCCCCCTGCCCTGTTCCCTCGCTCTGGTTTGGAGCATCGCCTCACCACTGCTAACTGCTCAGGGAAGCCGGTCATCCTCCCTGGAGCTGGAGCAGGGGCGCGGGGTGGGTGAAGGGATGCTCCTGCTGTGTGCACTGGCCTGAGGACAGAGAAAGAGGGCAACCGGCAAAGTGAGAGTGTGGAGGGGTGGAGTCAGGCAGGCAGTGCAGACACTCAGGCGGGACAACAGACACGGGCTGACTGGTGGATCCTTATTTCAAACAGCCGCCTGGAGCATCAGTGAAACTTGAAGGTGGCTCTCCAGTGAGGAGCTGAGGCTGAAATGATCATGGGGAATCTTTTCATTCCATTGGATTTGATGCTGATGTACCAAGTTGATGCTTTTTCTTAATCACCATTTTCATCATTTTAAATGTTTTACCAAATTTAGATGGAAGATGCTTTCTGAAAGCCTTCAATTCTACTTCTTAGGAGAATTTTACTCAGTTAACTTATAGTTACTTCCGGAAATGATTATTAGTTGTTAATTTTATTGATCAAATTGTTTGAAACAAGCACCTACCAGAGTGCTTGTTTGGGGGATACACCAGACCAGTCACAAGGCGCATCAGAGAACAGTTATGTTCCATCATGTGCACTTTACGTGCATTCTTGTTTTACTCAGAAGTAGACAAATTCATTAAAATATCCTCAATTATCACCACCGGTCTGCCACAAGACTTGAGAAGAGGGTAGAATGGCCTTCTTCATGATTCCTGCAGAGGCTGACAGACTTGTGCGTGCAACCAGCCCGCCGCCTCTGCATCTCTTCACGTTCTTCTTGTTTGGTCAGCCTCCTGTCTCTTGCCTCCTTGGAATCTTGAACTCTGCAAGAGCAGGGCCGACTTGGTTTCCTCCACCAGCATTGATGGAGGGCAGCAAATCTGCCTGAGCTTTGGCTGCGTCTTCTCCAGATCAATTGTTATCTTCATGTGTCCAGATGCACAGCTGGGCAGGTAACACAAAGCATCATTTCCATGCTCAGGCACCCAGGCCAATCCATTCCAGATGCTTCATGAGTTGAGGGATTTTCCATAAACTTCAGAGATGTCAGAGTCCACCAAAATATTATAAGGCTGGGTTCTTTATATATATGTATATGAACATAATCTATATTTTATATATTTATATCTAAATATTCTAATCTATACATATTTATATAATCTAAGGCTTATATATATAAGCTATGGTGTTGAGCTACAGTGTTCATATTATATATATATTTTTTATATATATGTAATTATGTATATCTATATCCTTAGATTATACATATATATAATCTAAGTGTGTGTGTGTGTGTGTATATATATACACACACACACTAAGGCTCTTTGTAAAATGAAAATGTATGTTTAAAGTAGTTATATAAATTTTTTTATTCAAACAGTATACACTTATATGTTTACATTTCAATTTCAGGATGACACCCCTGACTTTCACAATGTCATAATTTAAATGATCTATAGGGACTTTTTTCTTCCTCTAAGTGCTCTTAACCCAAAAAAGCCAATTAAATGGAGAACAATATAAATAGATTTTCTCTGTTGCTGCCAACTTTGATCTGCCCTCATGACGATAACAATTTATTAGAGAAGGAGATGGCTCTAATTTGGTTCAGTTTAACAAATGTTACTCCGTTGGAATCAGACACCCCTCTGTGATGAGAGTGAACACAGAGGACATTCGGTGATGGTGCCGGGCGGGACCCTGCAATGGTCTGTGGCGATTATAAGACAACAGCGATGCCGGGGCCGCAGTGTTCAGAGCCCAGTGGCGGCTCTGTTGTGTGGACCAACACTGAACGCAGAGCTCCTCTAAAGGCTCATGGTTATTTAGAGAGCAGAACATGGTGTGATGACTTTGACCTCTAAATGAAGGATGGACCCCTGGAAGCCTGGTGCTCCCCAGAGGGCTTGTGCCTTTGTGCACCTCCAGGTGATCCATGTGTGTCCAGGCCTGCAACTAGCCAATTATATAATGCTATGATTGCTCTTACTATTACTATTATCATTTTACAGTGCTTTGGTATTTCATGAAGAGGCCAGGAAAAGCGTGGATTACGTGACTGTGTGCAGAATTATAATGGTATATGTTATGTTGTCTAACCTGTAAAACTCTTAAGAATTTTTTTCTGATTATAGAAAATAGTACATGCTAAGGTAGAGAATGAAAAGTTTCATGATTCCACCTGTTAGAGATACTGGCTGTTTTTCTGCACCCGTGAACACACACACATGCACACACACGTGTGCACACACACACTTCCACAGGCATACATGATTTTTTCAGCAGTGGGCCCATGCTGTTCAGGATAGTCTGAGGTGTGCACATCTTTTCTCATAAGGTCCCTGGACATATTCCTGGTCAACTAAGTCTTCAAAAGGCTGCTGAGCCCCCAAGGGTGCAGGCTGATGTGGACGTCTGAGCCAGCCCTGTCGGGTGACAGTTAGGAGGCCTCCAGTTCTTCCCTCCCTAAACAACCCACGGGGACTGTCCTGTGTATCATGTTTGCTCCTTGTACCCTAATTACCATAGGGAAACTCCCAGAAGTGGGGTACTGGATCAAAGGGTGGGAACACCCTCCATATTGATTGGATACAGTGCTGCCAAATTGCCCTTCAGAAAGGTTACCCCAGGTTACAGTCCCATCAGCAGCAGGAGGCTGGAAACCTCCCAGGCCTCTCCAACCCTGATGATTTCACTACTTCCCGATCTCACTGGCATAGCATATCTCATCTTTTTTGGCTTACATATTTTCTATTTTATTCAGGTGTAGCATCTTTCATACAGTTGGGTTTTTGTATTTTGGTAGGGATGGATTTAGGGAATGGGTTTTGGCCACTTGACTTTCTCATTTTGCCCTTGGTCCATTTTTCGTTTGATTGTTATTTATCTTATTATCTTTAGGAATTTTTTGTCAAGTGGATTCCCAGCCCTCAGCATTGGTTATCTCCTGCAGCATAGCCCATTATCCTAAAACTCAGTGTCTTGAAGACACCAACATGTCTTCTCTCCTAGTTTCTGTAGTTGAGGAATCTGAGTGCTGCATGCCTGGGTGCCTCTGGCTCTGGGTCTGTCATAGAGCTGCAGGGGAACTGCAGGCCAGGGCTGCTGTCTCATCTGGAGGTCTGACTGGGGAGGATTGGTTCCCATGAGCACTCATGTGCTGGCAGCAGGATGCAGTCCCTGGGTGGTGTTGGCTGAAGGCCTCAGTTCCTTGCCTATGGGCCTCTCCATGGGGCAGCTCACAGCATGGCAGCTGGCCTCCCTCATAGGGAGCTAGGGAGAGAGAGAGAGGTTACCCAGGATCAAAGCTGCAGTCTTTTGTGGCTTACTCTCAGAAGTGACTTTCCATCACTCCGCCATCCTCTGTGCAATAGAAGCAAGCTCAGGTCCCTCGCACTCAGGGGTAGGAGGTCAAACAGGGAGTGAACGCCAGGAATCGGAAATCCTTTTGGGACAGCTTAAGGGCTGCCTGATACAGGAGCATAATATTAGCTGATTCCGTAGGTAGGATCTTGTTTTCATTGTATGTTCAAATCAGTTATGGATGTATATATAAACTATCACATTTTTACACATGCATAATAAATTCTGGCATACACGTTCATGTAAACCACATTTGTATTGTGACTTTCACTTTTTGTCTCAGGTGTAGGGAGAGGTTAATGATATCCCACCAGTCCATCCATGCAAGGCCCATGGGAGCCCATTCTGTTTCTAGCAGATATTATTAGATACACTTCATCCTGTCAGGTGTGTCATGTCATTCCGTGCATATGTGTGTTTCATCAGCCCAACCAGTGCTGTCCTCTGTGCCTTGCTCTGAATCTTAGTTATTTCACCCAGAACTTGGGCTGGTGGGCCGGCTGTGTCACTGTGTGTGTGTCTGGCCCATTGCTTTTCACACCTGCATATTTTTCCAAGATGTGAATTGATCACATTTTGCTCATCCACTCCCCTGGGGATGCCAGCAATCTCCCACCTCCCTGTGGTCACAGGAATATGGCTACTCACCTGCAAGTGGATCTTCTGGGCTTGATACCCAGCTGTGAGCTCACAAGAGCACGAGCCTCGGTATGTGGATTGTCTCGAGGTATTGCCAGAAACTTCCAGAATGCCTTTGACATTCTGGAAGCGGCCGATCGACACACTTCCCCGCAAACACCTGGCATCGTCCTCCCCTCTGTTTTGCCCCTTGACAGGACCCTAGAGGCATCTAACTGCTGCTTTCCTTGTGCTTTCCTGATGACTGGGATCTGGACATCACGCTGCATACTTGTCAGCCATTCAGGTCTCTTCTTTAGACATCTGCTGATCTTCTTTCCCTTCCCTGCATTGTGTCCGGGTTGTCTAGCTTTTTCTTCTCAATTTTCAGAAAATTTTTCTTTTTCCAGGTATTAATTTTTTGTGCAAGTGTTAGACATCACAAATATTTTCTCCCCAAATTTTCTTTATCTTCTTCTCTTTCTCATCTTTTATTGAGGAAAAAAAGCCCTCCCTAATTTTGAACAAGTTACATTATGATCGAGGCTGTTTGGGAAGACCATTTCCTCACCGTCCCATCACGAGGCATCCTCCTGAGCCTCCTCCCACTGGCTTTAGAGCTTTTCCTTTCACATTTTGGATTTCATCCATCTTGAGCCCTTCTCCATGTGAGCTGCCAGGTAGACACCCAGCTTCCTTTCTCTGCAGTAAACACTTTTCTTGGCCCCATTGTCTGAACCACCTGGTCTTTTCCCACGGCTTTCTGCTGCCATTGTTATCCCATGACAGTCCCATGTAAATACAATTCTCTCTTCTGCTCAGTTCCCCAATTTTCCTGCTCCTGTACAAATATTACACTGCCTTTAGGAATGCGGCCTCCTAGTCCAACAGCCAACAGACTACAACCCCCTCTGCTCTTCCTTTTCAAAATCATCTTAGCTTTTTGTGGACCTTGTAATTTTTCAATTATTTGTCAAGAAATTTACTCTGATCAGTGAACTCTCATTTCCACACAAGAGCGTACCCTGAAATCTCAGCAGTTTAATACAGGAAACATATATTCTGGCACAGAGTCTAATACAGGCCAGTGTCTGCTCTCTATCTGGAGCACACAGCCTCCAAATTCACAGCAGCAGTGGGTGACAGCAGGGTGAGGGGAGCATGTCAGCATCAGCGCCCGACTGTCTCCACCCGGAACACACACGCCTCCTTCTGCTCACCACCCACTGGCCAGAACTGGCCACATGGCCCCATCTGACTGCAAGGGAGGCAGAAATGTAAGGACCCACATGGCTATTTGTGGAGCATTAACGCTCTCTAACAAATTCAGTTCCTCAAAAATAGCTGAGCCTTTAGGATTTTCTATGTAGGCAATTCTAGCATCTACAAATAATGAGGTCAACAGAAAGTCACATCCCAGTGACGCAGAAAACCTCAGTACCGTAAGAGCCAGGCAAACAAAGCCAGCACAAAACTTATTTTTGCTGCTTCAAATATGGAGATTGAAGAAGCTTGATTTTTTGTTACCTTTGAATCTTACCACAAGCCAATGTAAATATCACAATAACAAAGCCAGGAAAATTAATCTGTAAAATTGTTCTTATGCCATTTAAAATGTCACCAAATATACCTGGGATTAACTTTTCCATTACTAGGAAAAGGGCAGTTTTGATGACTTACTTCTTAGCTCCCTTTAACATCTGATTTAGTGCCTTCCACAGTAGGCCCTCAAAAAATTATTGGCTGCAAACATAACATATTGCATACGGTCTTTTCAGTAAAATTGAAAGATTTTACTTTGAAAGTCCAGTTTCCTGAAAACATTTACCTTCTAAAAGATACTTATTGGGAAGCTGAGATCAGAATTTGAGTGCTGGCAGAAGCTTTAAGCCTGTAGGGCTAAAATGATGTTGCCTGTGCACGTGGTGTGTAGTGTACAGCCTGAGGGCTGGTACACCACGGTCTATGCCTGCATGTGGATCTTCCAGCATGGAGCACCCGTGCTTAGGAGGTTAACAACCAGGAGTACGTGCATGGCATTGGAGTGGGGCATGCTATAGCCGGAGAAGGTTGGGAAGTCCTGGCTTAGGAGACGTTATTGAAAAATTCCCAGAGCCAGCAGGGTGCTGATATTTCTTGCCAATGCTCAGACATCACAGGGCTCCAACTCCAGTGCCGGGATGAGGCTTGGGTTGGTGAGGCACTGCCTCTTCCTGCCTCTACTTCCACAGAGAAGTTACTTGCTCCTTCATTCTTCATCAATCATTTGAAAAATCCCAAGTGCATCTCCCTCCTGGGTGAGAATTAGATGACATAATGTGTAAAATACTGCGTGGGACACATTTTGGAAAATGGTAACATGCATACCATCCTTTCTTTGGAATTCTAACTGTGGCATGCGGGGGCCTTCAGACTCATAGTGATAACCCCACAGGCTTCGTCGTTCATTCCTCAGTAAATAAGCTTGAGCACCTGAGAGGGGCAGTGAGCACTTTAGTACTGGAATAATGCGTGGTGGGGCATCACCTGGAGGTTCCATCCTCACACGTGGTGAGAAGGGGCTTTGAGCACAGTCTCCAGAACCCAACTGGAGTCCCACCAGGTCACATCCCACCTCCAGCACCTGACAGCTGCATGGCATTGTGCAGTTTACATCTGTGCTTCCGTTTCTCCGTCTTGAGGAGAGGCTGGAGCAGTCTTTCCCCGATGATGACTGAGCATGTGTGTGCATGTGAAGTCCTTGTGGCAGTGACTGGCGCAGCTTTCCCTATATTCTATCATAAGATAAACAGTGAAGATTTCAAGTGACGCTTGTAAAAATCACCGATTGAATTATTTTCTTTAGCTATTATGATTCTTAATCAAAAAGCCGAGATTGTATTGCAATGCCCTTATACAAATAAAAGAATTAAAATCAGAACATCTCCCAAAGTAATGACCTAAAAGTAATAATAGCCATCCTAGTTGCTTATAGAAAATCTCTTGTTAATTTTATTAGGTCAATCAAAAGCAGTCCTTTAGTTTTCTAAGCTTTTCAACCAGAGACTAGGAATTTGAACTTAGAATCAACTTCCTCTCTTGATTACATTCTTAAGACTCTTTTACGATAATAGAACACGGCATTTTCCACAGAGATCCCGAATTTGCTTTGTCTACACTGACTAAGCTATCTTATGCCGTATCTTTGTCCCCTATTTCCTTGCAAACATAAAGTGTGTGCTGGGTTTCATTTACATCACCTGTATAACACCAGCCAGTCTGGAAAGGTGGAATGATACTGTATGGCCCTGAAATGGCTTCGGTCCATTCCTTTTATCCAGTATTTGTAGCACACTGCTGGGTGGAGTCTCACTGAGAGCTCTTAATTTAACAAGAAACCAGTGTGAGCCAAGGGAAGGGGTAGGAAGGCAGGGCCCGGGGGAAGTGTGAGCATGGGGGGTGGGGTGGGTGGTGCTGGAGGAGGCAGGGTCATTGTAAAGGGAGCATTAGACTTCAGCCTTGAAGCCGAAGCTCTGCCAGGTGCTGGAAGGGAACTGGCCCTCCAGCCTGCAGCTGGAGAGGACCCCGCCCACAAGAGACAAGCCCTGCCCCTGTGGAGCAAGCTGGAGAACCAGCTAGAGCAATGATGTGCTGGGCAGAAACGCACAGGCTCTCCAGGGCCTGGCCCCTGCTGATAGGTGCTGGATTTAACCCCAAGACCTGTCGGAAAGAATGCTTTATGAAATACACTTATTTTTTAAAGTATATTAGGATAACTTGTGATAAGTTCATCACACCCACTGAAATGGCTCAGAACACTTTCAGGACTTCAAAATCAGGGTGGGGTATGCCTGCTTAGTCATGGATGAGTATCTGGAAAGCTCAGGGAGCTTTCCAGTGGCACTGGGGCTCCCTTATTCCTAGGAGGCGGGGCCTGAGCAGGGAGGGGGTGGGGTCCCGATGTTTGTGCAGAGGAGACACCTCTGCTGCCTCTGCAGAGCCTGCACCTCAGCAGCACCTCAGGAGCAGCCAAGGCATAAAGCAGTCAACGCGGTGCCCTCAGGGCAAATGCACCAAGCATGGTTCCAGCTTATTTTGAGGTGTTTGGTTGTTAAAAGTTTTTCAGCACTTAAAGGTCTAATTTTCCCACGGGTGAAAACATCCCATTTTAAGAATGTGTTTGGAGTTTGCCCTCTGGGTCACGGGGCTGCTGGGTCAGGGTTGCTGCAGGAAGAAGCTTTGCCAGGGCTGTGCTGTCCTGACTCAATGAGACAATGACCTCAAAACGGAAACACCTGGGGGGCTCGGTTAAAGAGCCACATGCGGCACCCCTCAGGTGTACACTATTTTACCTGCTCCTAAGCTTACTATATAATATTTGTGAACTGCTGCAGAAAGCAAAGCACACTCTGCGAATGCATGGCAGGTTTGGGGCAGTACCTTTTGGTTCCTTTCATTGCCTGGAGTGACCTTTGGTCGTATCACATGAGAGATGCCCACTTGCTAATTAATGGGTTTCTTCACAGGAAAATGTAGTTGAGATTTGTAAAAACAAACGGCGTTGTCTTCACTGGACACTAGCTGCCACCAATAATGATTTGCCATTCACAAGGACAGGAGTGGCCCCCTCTTGGCATAGAGAGAGTGGAAACATCCCCTTCCCCTTGGAAACCAGACCCAAACTCCAGGGACCCCGAAATTCCCACCTTCACCCCATCCTCCCCAGGATGGCCCACATGGAAGCCCACAGACCACCAGCCCACACCAGTGCTGGAGGTCCACAGTCACATGAGGGTGCCCTGGGGAGGGACAGGGGCAGGAAGTAGGACCCTCTACACACCCCCATGCCTACACCAGCGCCCACACTCTCAGGGCCAGTGATCACCATGACACTGTCTCAAACAGCCCACCTTGTGTGCTTCTCCATCCTGACCTCCACGTGCCCCCCAGGCCTCACTGGGCCTCACAAACTGACCTTTGGCCTGGCCGTGACCTCCTCCCAGTCACCCTGCCACCATTGCAGACCAAGTCGCCATTTTAGTCATGCCAAAGATTCTTGGTGAATTGCACACGGAGCACAACTCCTTGCACTGAAGGTCAGCCTGCTGAGGACAGGTGTGCGTGGAGGTCAGCCTGCTGAGGACAGGTGTGCCCGGAGGTCAGCCTGCTGACAGGTGCGCCCGGAGATCAGCCTGCTGAGGATAGGTGTGCCCGGAGGCCCTACAACCACCACCCCCACCACCAAAACCCAAGGCTGGACCTGGTGACATTCCAGACTTTAAGGAAATGGTTGACTAGAAGTCAGTGGGGCTTTGTTCAAAATAAAGAGGTTAAAAGAGAGACCATTTAGGCAGAAAGTTGATGAGCTGGATCTTACAACATCCACATGGAGACAGCAGCTGCTGGCCTGGTGGAAGTGTCCAGCAGGACGCGGGTGTGTGGAACTGGCATTTGGGTGGCAGGGAGAGGCTGCAGGCGGGAATTTCAAGAGTTCCCCCATGTGGCACGTGTAAGCCAAAGACCAAGTGGGCTGTTGACCAAATCTGGGTGGTTCTTTGGAAACAAATTGCATATGCAAGGCTGTTCCAGGAGGTTTCATCCATATCCCATATCGCACAAGTTGCAGCTTCACTCAGTGCCTCAAGAAAGCAAGCCAGACAAAAGACAGACCTGGTGTCTCCCCAGAAACCACCCTCCTAGAATAAAGTCAAATACCTGCTTGGCAGGTATTGGGGATCTCTAGGGGCATAAATTAAATCTCACATCTTTATGAGCACAATTCCTTCTTTTAAAAATCAGAAAAGTAACAAAGTAGGTGAAGTAAATAATCCATGTAGAGTCTTATTATTGCTGTGCTTTATTGCAAAAACAGACTATTTGAGAAAGTAACCTATCTTTTATAGAGTTTGTGCCCAGATCATATTTTCACACGGAAATTTTACCTGAAAATATATCTGAAGACTTCCAGTGGTTCCAAAATCTCATTTACTTTATTTTTTGACATTGCTGAATTTCCTTCTGCATTGTGAAACTCTAGTGCTGAGCATGCTGTATGACATGAGCTTTCTCTGTCATTGTAAGTAACATGGCTTGGAAAGAGACCACAGCCGTGAACTGCCACCATCAAGCGCAAAGCCTCCCTGAAGCCACCTCAGCAGTGAAAGCACCAGGCGCCATTTACCTGGGTTGTCTGTGAAAATCACGCGTTCCTTCTTGATGCAATATTTCTAGAACAACTAAGTTTGGGCTTTTTGGTCAAAGTCGTGAAGCTCCTGCTAGCAGGGCAGACAGCGAATGGTGGCTGCCTCTGTTTTGACAAATTCATTCCCAGGCTCTGATTCCTGTCACATTTCCTAGTGACATTCTTGGTCTCTTTCGGTTTTTTTTTTTTTGGACTTTAACAGCATCGCCGTACCTACTATCTGTGCTGAGAGAACTGTTCCGCAGCAAGGCTGGGCCATAGCAGTTGTGAAATGAAGTGTCCTGATCACCCAATGGCACGGGTGATCAAAGCCACAGCAGACCACAGGCAAGGGCTTAGGGCTGCAGGTGGATGATCTCCTGCGCACGTGGGAGAGTGATCCTAGGACGTGCAGATGCATTCTGTCAGGAAACAGGCAAAAGGCAGGAGACATGGAGAGTGGGTGCCCATCGGTGCATCTGATCTCCCTGGCACCCCTCCACTCCCCTCTGCTTCCTTCCTGCTCAGGGGCTTCATCCTTCCTAGGAGTGAGGAAGGCCAGGCCTCATGACAGAGCTGCCTGCCCTGGGGGCGTCCCTTCTATCGTGTGCAGCATCAGGAGTCTGTTGGATCCCCAGTGCCTCATCCTGAAATCAGGGAGGCGTGGCAGGGTGGAGGCAGCCGTGGGCATCTAGGGACACACAGCACGGGAGGCCACAGAGCTGAGTGAGCAGAGTCCCACCTGCCGGAACAAGAGGGCGAAAGTGAGAATTAAGCCACCGAGAATGGGTGGGCTGAGATAGCGATGGGGCCCTGGATTCTCTTCCTGTTCAGTATGTGTTCCAAGAAGAAGGAAAAACATGGAACGCTGAGGAAGACCAACTGTGCAGGGAAAAGAGCTGGCCGGATTGTGATCTAAGAGGTCAAGTTGGGTAGGAGAACACCATTGTTTCTTGCAGGTCACTCACTGAGCGTAGGAGCAGACAGAGCTGACTTCAACTTAGGGGCGACTTCAGTAAGAAAGTGGGGGGTCTCTGGGGCTAGTCAGGGAAATGTGTGCCTTAATGGAGCCAAGTCCAAGGAGTAAAATGTTGAAGCAAATGAAGAGGTGCTGATGTCTGTATCCTCCGGTGAGTCTGTCCATCATAAAAAGGGCAGAGGCTGTGCTCATTAAGACTTTCCAGAATCCTCTGTGAAGACAGCTGGAATGATCTCACAAGGAGAAAACACAGACCGGGGGTCTCCTTTGTGCTGAGTAAGTGTTTCGGCCTTGAGAGTGGAGTGCAGCATCCTGGGTGCGGCCCAAGAAAAGCAGCTTCCTTTTGCATTCTGGTCCTGGCCAAAATGACAAACACAGACTGCCCCCATCATCTCGGGACAGAGACTCACCAGGGAGGTCACCCACCCTGTTCACCACGTCAGGCAGGTAGCGTGTGCCGAGGCCCCCACATGTGCTGCAAAGACCAGAATGTACGTAGTAAAGGTAGACTCAGGGCCCTGATCATCTCGGGGCTTACATAAACCATGTGGCAAATGACAGGATGGCTGGCCAGGAGCTCCCTGTTGAGATGACATTGAGAGAGACACAGGTAATTGGTGGCCAAGGAGCATCCAGTGCCAGGGGGCACAGCCAGGCGGGTCACTTTTTTCGTTTGTGTTTGTTTGTTTGTTTGAGTGAATGGTCAGTATCTTGTTTGCCTTCTCTTACATCTGTGACCCTTCCGCACGTTTCTGAGAGCTGGCCTGGCCTTGGGGTTCAGAGTGTGGCCTCCAAAGCCAGGAATTCCTGCACTGGGATCCTGGCCCTTGGCCACTTCCTAGCTGAGTGACTCCAAGCACCTTATTGATCTGTGTGTCTCCATTTTCTCGTCTGTAAAATAGACCTGATGACAGCAGACCCCACCTGCTGGAGTGTCTCAGTATGGTTCAGTGAGAGTGTTTGCCCCATCTTGAGAACAGGGCCTGGCTCAGACAGCCCTCGACACAGTCGACACAGCCACCACGATGTCACTAATGAGCGTATCTGTCACTTACCTGTCTTAAAGTGCACATTAATGAAACCCACTGGGATCCGGCTGCCTATGCAAAAGTATAAGTATTAGTGGGATCTCCAAAAAATAACCTTGAGAGGATTATCTCATATCATTACATTTTTAGCAAAAAGTTCCTTTTTCTGCGCTTGCTTCCTCCAAGAAAGTACCATCTGTTTCAAAACAGTTCAGTAATTGCTAGTACTTTCTTTAAAATGTAGAGGCAAGTGCTGCTTCTGTTTTGTAAGCGCCCATGAACTGTGCCTTTGGTGCTGCCAGAGCTGGAGGATTTTGTATAGTATTAAGTAGAGTGGCTTCGCTTTAATTCCTTATGAGTATCACCAAAGTATACACGAAACCGATGCTGGCTTTGTCATCCTGAGAGGTTTCACAGTTTTAAGAAAGAGTTTCTGAGTGCCGGCATTTCCTAATACCCTGCTTGACGTCTGTGGGGTGGCAAGCATTTCATAAACCTCTGGGGGTTACAGGTTGCTCTCTTTGGACTTGTTCATGGCTAAGCTACACTTTTTTAAAGAACCAGATTTTTCTTAATGTGTAAAGAGTGCTAAAAAATAAGGTCAATAGGAGTTTTTAAGGTTTTGATAGTATTATAAACCAAGTAACCATCACACATCTCAGATGACTGTTTTTCAAGAGTTGGCCCGGAGCGTGCTTCTCGGGCCATTTCACCTGTGCACGCTTCGTTGTGGCTGCACCTGCCCTAATTCCCCGTTTCTAGATTTCCTGCTTCTCCTCTTGACTGTCCCCAGCCAAACACACCCATCCTCCCAGGACCCCACAGCCTGCTCCTAAGACAGCGTCTCTCTCTGCAGGCCTGGCCCCGGGTCACTTGGCATGGTGGCCCACCACCTCCATCCCATCTCGCCTTGCACGCCAGGTGCTCATTATCCCCATGCAGGAGGTGAGGGCGGGTAGTGACATGGGTGCAGCGGCTAGGTGCAGGGAGGGTGACCTGCTCACGGGCCTATGGCTAGAGAGCAGAGAGGGGGCACGCTCCCCTCCCCGCACACCTCTCCCTGCAGAACCACATCATTTAGGTTCCCTGGTGTGAGCTCCCACCACTATACCCAGCAGCCTCCTGCCTGGATTTCTGTGCACACCTCAAAGCCAGCCAACCCAAACAGAACTCAGTATCTTATCCTAGAAACCTGTTCCTCCTGGGTCAGAAGCCTGGAGTGGCTCGGGCCTCCCACTGATCCTTCCCCCAGCCTTGCCCACATGACCTTAGTTGGACTCACTGAGTGGCCTCTGCCAGGCCCTCGCCATCTTCTCTGGACCATGACAATAACCTAACTGGACAACACCCCAAAACTGACCGCCATACCACCTCCCAAATGACCATCCACAAGGAAAACATGGCCCAATGTGCGCCCACCTGCAGAATGGGTGCAAGTGCTGAGGTACAGGTGAAAGGCCTCTCTGTCAGCTTTATGCCTGCCGTGGGCAGAGTTATGTCCTCCCCAAAATAGTTGAAGTCCTACCCCCTGTGGCTGTGAATGTGACCTTATTTGAAAATAGGGCCTTTGCAGAAGTCATTGAGTTGAGAGGAGGTCTTGCTGGGTTAGGGTGGTCCCTAATCCAATGACTGGTGTCACTGTAAGAAGAGGGAGATTTGGATACAGAGACAGATTCACAGAGAACACCGTATGGCAATGGAGGCAGAGATTAGAGCGCTGTGCCAACAGGCTGAGGCACACAAGGGTGCTGGCAGCCCCTGAGCGCTGGAACAGAGTCCTGGAGCAGACCCTCCCCTGGGCCCTCATCTCCATGTCAGACTTCTGGCCACCTGAACTGTGAGAGAGCATATTTCTGTTGTTTCAAGCCCCCAGTTGGAGTGCTGTGTTCCAGCAGGCCCAAGAAACTAAGGCACCTCCCATCCCTGCCTCGCCCACCTCCACCCCCCAGCAAGCTCTGACTCCCGGAAGCCTCAGGATGCTCACTGCCCACCCTCACGTGGCGTCTGCTCCTGCTGCCCCCTCTCCTGCTTTCTGGTTGGATCATTGCCACTTGTCTTTTGCGTTCAGCTCCTGAACCACCTTCCCCTGGAAGTTTCCTCCACTCGTCTGGGCCCCCAGCCCCTTTAGGTACCCCCTCCTGCACTCCCACAGTCCACTCTAGAGCACGGCTTCTCCACAGGGCTATTCAGCCCCCTAGGGAGTGCTTGGCAATAGGCAGAGACATTTTTGGTTGCCACCACTCGGGAGAGGGGTACTAATGGCATTCAGAGAATGGAGGCCAGGAGGCTGCTGAACAGCCTCAGTGCACACGGCTGGGAACGACCCAGGGAGGCTGCTCAACACTCTGCGGTGCACATGGTCAGGAATGACCCAGGGAAGCTGCTGAACACCCTTAGTGCACAGGAGCGCCCAAGCTGGGGATGATCCAGCTCCAGCGTCAGCAGGGCCCAAGCAGAGGCACTCTCATCTAGAGGACACCTGCTCCTGCAGAGATGCCAGATGTTTTCATCTTGTCTCCCAGCTCCAAGTGGGAAAACTGCACATCCGTGGTTGCGCACCACCCACCACGCCAGCAAGGCCTCCCTGCTGCGAGTCCAACACACTCTGATCAGACCAATGCTCTTGTCAGCACCCAAAGAAGAAAAGACATGCTTACTGTATTCTGTACACTCTCTTCCACGTCTTGATAGGCTCAAACACGCCTTTAAAAATGAGAGCCCTGGCCAGGTGCGGTGGCTCATGCCTGTAATCCCAGCACTTTGGGAGGCCGAGGCGGGTGGATCACTCAAGGTCAGGAGTTCAAGACTCACCTGGCCAACATGGTGAAACCCCGTCTCTACTGAAAATACAAAAAAAATTAACAGGGCGTGGTGGTGCAGGCCTGTAATCCCAGCTACTTGGGAGGCTGAAGCAGGAGAATCACTTGGACCTGGGAGGCGGAGGTTGCAGTGAGCCAAGATCGTGCCACTGCACTCCAGCCTGGGTGACAGAGTGAGACTCTGTCTAAAATAAGAAAAAAAAAAAAATGAGGAGCCCACAGATGTGATGCACGGCAGGTGTGTTTGGAGTGAAGGATCGTGTTCCCTGCATGTCAGCAGGGCGCAGCCAGCCTTCTTCCTGAGGACACCGCATCACCTGCTGGGACTCTGCTCGCCTCTCCTGGACACGCACAGCCCTTCCGTCCCAGTTCCAGGCCTGGAAACATTCTCGCTAGAGAGAGAAATTTTACTGTAATAAGAATGGGTTTCCCAGTGCATTTTTTCTGCAGAAACTACATATCTCTATCAAAGTGGGAGCAGGGCCATGGAGGAGAGTCGTCATTTCCACTAAAGCCACGCCAAGGGCTGGTTCCCTTGTGGCTGATCCCTGTGTGGCTGGTCCATGTAGCCATGTGGCCCCTCGTGCCCCACCACCCAATGCACTGTCCTCTATGCCCTCAGATCTGGTGGGATGTTCTAGTCATCTACTTTGTGAAGCCACTTCTCTGGTCGCCTGTATGTGTTTGGCTTGGGCGTGAGTCAACAGGTCTCTGGGGCAAACAGTGCATTCTGAAAGTGTAACCGAAAGATCAGGTTTATGGCTTCTGAGGTGACTATTTTGAGTTGGTACTTTCCAGAAACCATTCAACACATTTTTTAGCTACCAGATCTGGGAACTAAATCACAGCTAGTCATGGGGGATGCATATGAATGAGTCTGCTGTTGGTGTCTGAACGATGAAAGGAACCCCAAGCCATATTGGGCACAAACTTTGAGTGAAACCCAACAGGGAGCGCAGAAGCCTGAGTGGCCCATGTTGGCGTCGGAGGGGCAGCGAGCAGGGAGGGCTGGTCTGCATACTCCAAGTCCTGGTTTCCTGGAGGAAGTCGCCCAGCCTGTGTGGCTGCCTCCAGCCCTTTCCCTGAGGATTCTGGGCCCCTCCTCAGGCCCTGGCCCTGAGGCTGCCTGTCTTTGGTCTTGCCCCTCATGGCACCCTCAGGCCACACGCATGCTCTTCTGCGGTGCCTCTGCCTTCAGTCTCGGGAGTCCTTGATTCGAACCCAGCTCTTCTATAGCCCTTGGCAAGTCAGTTAATGGAAGCCCAGTTTCCTACTCGTTGCAAAGGTTGCCCAGGTCAACATTTAATGAGATGAGATGTGAAAACAGCCAGGCAGCAGTCGCACATCAGAGTCGAGCTGAGCACGGAGCAGTCACCGTGGCACTTGCGGACGGTGTGGGGACTCAGCAGTCTCCCGGGTTGCACTTCAGACAAAACCTCAACATGACCTCACTGGCGGCTCATCAGCTCCAACAGCATGTTCCCACCCTGTCTTTCTCCCCCTCCCCTGTTTCTGCTCTCCCAGCCCTCTCTGCTTGTTCCCTCCCTGCACTGGTTAGTGCTGGGTCGGGTTCTGACAGATTCGGAACCCACCAGGCTGAAGCTCTCCCTGTGCAAAGGGACCACCCATTAAACTGGCTCATGTGGCCTGGGGCTCCCTCCACTCAGCCAAGAGCCTTCCCTCAGGTTACTGTGGGCTCTAGTCAGCAGCCATTCCACAGCAGGGAGGCTCACATCGGTCCCTGCAGTTTGAATGTAACCACCATAGCCACCTGCATGTGCACACATGGACACACATGCTCACATGTGACACGATACATGTGTATAAGTACCCACAAACACACAAATGAACACACGTGCACACATACACAAATGCATATGTATGTACATGCATTACTCGTGCACATGCTCACATATGCACACACACACCCCCAGGCTCACAATAAGGGCTATATTCACCTTCTCTGGATCCTTCTGTTTCCTGTCTCATCCGACTAGATCCAGCTGAAGTCCCCTGCTTGTCAGTGGCTTCAGTGTCATTGATCTGATTTGGGAATGTGTTTCTTAGAAGAGTCTGATCTGTTGTAGAGTCTCATTTGTCCTTTAGAAACTTACAAGTTGATTTTTTTCTAGGATTTGCTTTGAACATTAAACCTTAAGAGAAAGGTGAAATCCCCAATGTCTTTCCAAAGCGGACCTCCTTTGAAAGATGCTTGTAAGCATTGGTTTTCCTCAAGCCAAGAGCCTAGTGAGCTTTAATTTTTGCCCCCAGATAGAAGTTTTAGGGGAAACCTAAAATGAGTCTTGCACACGTTTACAACCCATGTCAGGGAGCTTAAGGTTACGAGTGCTTTTAGACTGACAATTACTCCTTCAAAGACTTGAAAAACAAGTAGCAGCTCTGTAATTTTGGCTCAGGAAATGAGTGCAGGAAACTCAAAACTTTACGTAAGCAGTCTGAAAATTTTAACTATTTTTAGAGGGCAAAAGTCTGTAATTCATAGGCAAATGAAACACAAAAATACCAAGAAAGTATGTTTGCAAAGAAAAGGAATGAGAGAAAAAGCTAATCAAGTAAGTATAGAATTAATGTATTAATGTCAACCTGTTAAGACAGACATAATTCAAAAGGCTAAGAAATTAGCTATGTAAATGCAATATACTGAATTTGCCTGTGGACATTTTTGTGACTGAATACGTCATAAAATCTACATGAAAAGACAGAAATATGGTGTATTCTTTCAAGAGAACAGAATGAAACTATCTTTACCAAAGGAGAAGATCTTCCGTGATAGCTGAAAAAATAAGAAGCCCCATTTATTGTGTTCACCCTGTGCCTGGCATTGGGCAAAGCATCTTTTATGTTTTAACATATTAAATTCTTATAGAATCCAATGCCACATAATACTATTATAATGCTTATTTTACATATGAGAAAATCGACATTCAGAGAGGTTAAGTGATTCACCCAAGGTCACACAGCCAGGAAGTATTGGAGCTGGGATTTGAAGCCAGGTCTACTGAATTATGCAACTCCTTCCCCACCAAATACACACACAAGCACACACACACACAAGCACACACACACACAAACACACACACACACTTAAATTCCATGCCCAAGCCTCCCCCTCCCCCAAGCATAGTGAGCCATTTCACACCTTCAATTTGGGACCCCTTGTCCTCTCCCACCACAGCCTGGTAAACACCTGCCCACCTATGTCTCAAGGCTTAGCTTACGTTATTGTCAACAGAAATCTTTCTGAACACACAAATCACTGCCACCACCCCTCTTCTCTCTCCTTTCTTTCTCTCTTCCCCAGTGTAGAATCCGTCATACTGTCTGGGTTATAAGTTCCATAAGGAGCAGAATTATTTTCCTTAGAAAGCTCTGAAGTCCCGGTCACCAGCACAGTTCCTGACACAGGGAAGACCTGCAGCAATCGTCTGCTGAATGAATAAAGAATGAATTGACTCTTCCTGCCTCTGGCTCTTTTAGTTCTACACACCAGTTGTTCTCAATCAGGAGTGGTTTTGCTCCTGTGGGGACGTTTAACAATGTCTGGAAACAATTTCTGTCATTACTCATGGGGTGCCACTAGCATCTAGTGGGTAAAGGTCAAGGATGCTGCTAACTTCCTTCCATGCAGGTATAGCCCCTACAGCAAAGAATTACCTGGCCCAAGATGCCAACAATACCAAGAGTGAGAGACCCTGCCTGCTCCACACCCTCTGTCCCAACAGCTGCAACATGCCTGGTTATCCGCCCACAGTGGACTCTAAGCCCTAAAGGCAGAGACCTGGCATCACTTTGTCTTGTTTGACCCAGCACCTAACACATTGAATGAATGCATAAATGAATGAATGAGAAGCATTAGACAATTAAGGAAGATGCAGACGTGCCAGGCTGAAATTCAATTACATGGGGGCCGAACTGGGGAGTTAAGTTTGGGGCCACTTGTCATCTTATTAGCTGTGTTGAAATGTTTTCATGCTGCATCATTGCTATTGGCCCTCAAAAGGCCATAAGGGAAAAAAAGAATCAAATCAAAATACCACCTACTGGTTTTGTTTGACAGATGCAGCCCTGGAGAATTGTATTCTCATTAACACTGTTCGACTTCTGTATTACAATGAGACTTTTAAGGTGGTGATGGCAAAATCCTGTAGTTGTTCATAAATATACACTTAACCATGTGTGGCTCAGGAAAGAGAGGAAGTGTTGCTGTAAACTCTGAGTGATAACACAAAGCTGTTGTAGTGGATGAGTGAAGAGTCACATCTATGCCTTTTAACATTAAGAACAAGTAGAGATATTTTAGAAGAAATGAGAGTTATTCAAAGGAAATATCTCAGACTAGATTCTTTGATTATTAGTTAAATAGAAACAGACAAGGGAGAAAGGTAAATGTTATGAGAATAAGAAAAACGCTGTTAATTGTATGAAGTTCAAAGTCCTCAGTATTTTCAAATGCATTATCTTACTGGATGTTCGTCATGATGTGTGACATGGGTATCGTCTGCACTTGATTCCCAGAAGTTCACATTTCAAGAGACTGTATCCTGGAAGGATGAATGGCAATTCCCAAAGACCTGCAGCAAGCAGGGAACACGGGATGGAGGGGTCCCCCCTCTTCTTGGTGCAGTGGGCACAGCAAGGGCATGTCAGAAAAACGGCTCTGTGACCCTGGCAGAGCCAGGAAATAAAGGGGGAATGCAGGGAGTGGCTTCCAAGTCCAGCATTTCACTGTGTCGTATTTAAACAGCCAGTCAGAAGATGAACCTATGAAAAAAAAACTGTTAATTGTAAACGTGGGTGTAAGAGACAGGAGATGCGATGAGAGCTCCTTATCACAGTGTAGTGCAATAAATGCGCTGAGCCTCTGACTGGCTCATAACGGGCTCTGTCTCCCAGCTGTGGAATTGACTAAGCACTAGGGCTTTCTGTTCATAATTCTTCCAGGGAAGAAAAGGCAACAAAGAGTGGTCTGTTCCTCTGGGGTTTTGTTTGTTGTTTCTTGTAACAATTGAGACTTTCACAAAGAATAGGCAAAGTGTGGGTTCATGCCAAAAACCACAGAATAGTCCAGGATGACTGTGAGCCTCTATTGGTCTAGCTACCTTTAGTTCAGGATTTTCAAATAATACCATAGATTTTCAGTATTGTGGAGAAAAAGGATACAGATGGTTAAAATATGCATTTTCGCCAAAAAAAAAAAAAAATCAACCCTTGATATTTGCTGTCACTTGATGTAGAAATTGATGCTGGCCGGGCACACTGGCTAACGCCTATAATCCTAACACTGAGAAATCAAGGTAGGAGGATTGCTTGAGCCCAGGAGTTCGAGACCAGCCTGGGCAACAAAACGATACCCTGTCTCTATAAAAAAAATTTTTTTAACTGGCTGTATGTGGTGATGCATGCCTGTAGCACCAACTACCTGGGAGGCTGAGGCAGGAGGATCTCTTGAGCCCAGGAGATCAAGGTTGCACTGAGCTATAATTGTACCACTGCACTCCAGTCTGGATGGATGACAGAGTGAGACTCTGTCTCAAGAAAAAAAAAAAGAAGAAATTGATGCTAACATCCTCGCAAAGATGTGAAAGATGTGTTTTCATATGTTTAATAAGATAACTTTGGACTTTGATCTCAGCCCACAATTATGATGATTATGAATATATTAGCTCTGAGTGGTCTCTTTTTATCAAGCATAATTACATCGCATAAGCAAATATGCTTGAAGTTATAAAACTCAAAATAGGAGTCAATCCTAGTGAGGCATGGGGATGTTGCTAGCAGTCAATAAATGGCCATTTCCTGTCATCTTTTCCTCCGATCTTCCTTCATCCTTTTAGCAACTCTTCCTATGTGAGTTATACAGCGTTTTCAAAAAGGTGTGCATCGTGGCACATGCCTGTAATCCCAGCACTTTGGGAGGCTGAGGTGGAAGGATCACTTGAGACCAGGAGTCCAAGACCAGCCTGGGCAATATAGTGAGACCCCATCTCTATAAAAAATAAAAAATTAGATAAATGTGGTGGCTCACACCTGTAGTCCTAGGTACTCAGAAGGCTGAGGCAGGAGGATTGTTTGAGCCCAGGAGTTTGAGGTTGCTGTGAGCTACGATCGCGCCACTGCACTCCAGCCTGGATGACAGAGCAAGATCCTGTCTGTAAAAAAAAAAAAGAAAAAGAAAAATTTTTTAAAAAAGGAAAAGGTTCTGCTGCCCCCAGTGACAGATGCACAAGTGAAACCAGAGGGATATCCAGAGCAGGCAGAGTTTGGTAACCCTGGACTCCTGACTCCTCAACTATGGATTGGCCTGTGTGTCCACTGTTGAAAAGACAATTATTGAAAAGGAAGCCTAGGTAGGCTCCGAATACAAGCATATGAAATGGCCTCTTCCACTCCACGTTTCAGGTGGTTGGGCACCGTCTGCCCAGTAGATTTAGAGGCCATTGCAGCTGCCTTCCCACTGGAGTTGTCAGTGAGTTATCAGAGAGCCAGGATCAGGTGGATCGTGCTTGCTGGTGGCCACACAGACCCATATGGCTTCTGCCCTCTATGGCTG
The DNA here is from genome assembly GCF_000001405.40 of Homo sapiens. Taxonomy (NCBI): domain Eukaryota; kingdom Metazoa; phylum Chordata; class Mammalia; order Primates; family Hominidae; genus Homo; species Homo sapiens. The sequence goes on from NW_025791776.1 coordinate 193,632, forward strand.
TCCAAGGCACCTGGCTGCTGTGTGTTGTAGGAGCTGCTGGTGGGGAGGCCTGGTCCCCATTCACATCCCAGTACGTGCCCACAGTTGTGCTGTAGCACCAGTGCCCCGAATTGGAAGTGCAGAGGGTCTGTTCAGAGAGAAATTCTGTTCGCGAAGGTTCCTGAACAGCAGGCGATGGTTGGTAATTATGCGCCTGCCAGTACATAAAGCTCAGCCAGTTCTTTCCAGGCATTTCTGCCCCATCTGCAAAACATGTACATGGGATGCCCAAGGAGAGGAGCAGATCTTCCAGGAGAGCCTGGGGGAGGTTAAGTGGAAGGAAATGTGCCTCAGAGGCTAAGGGAACGTTTCAGTTGATCCACCATTAAGAGGCTTAATGAAGAGTAATTGAGGCTGGAAGTGTGAGAGCTGCCACAGGTCCAACTGAGGCCAGCATCACCCCGACTCCTGGTTGTCTTCCATCTGCTCCTCCCCTCTGATGCCAGATATTCCACATTTGCCAGGGCTTCCCAAGATATTGTCACATGGGCAGTGTTGCCTGGTTTCTTCTTCTGCATAGTCCAGAGCCGTCTTGTGCCGTCATAAGATGGGTCAGTCCCTTTTGACCACTGCAGAGACAAGTGCTCTGTCCTTGGGAGCAGAACACGCCTGGTCACTGTGAGGGAGCGTGGCCCTCTTCACTGGCCCCACCCCCTCCCGGGATCGTGTGACAAAGCACCTGCCCTGACCTCTACCCTCTCTTGGACCTCGAGGATGGGTCTCTTCTTCCATGAAAATGTCCACCGTCACCTCACAAAATGGTGCTGAAGTGACATGAATTCCAATAAATTCACTAATGGCTCTGGAACTTGAATTTTAAAAAATAGAGTTTTAAATATTAGTAGAAATATACAAATATACACATCTCTCTATAAATATATTTATCTTCCCTGTTATCACAGAGGAATTTGAAGTGATAATTAAAGGCATTCTTTTGAGGGAGGGAAAGGAAGTTCGAACAGTATATTGCCTCAGGGAGAGAATGCTTGGCTGTGAATTGATGCCCTTTTGGTAAGGCCGTCCCCTCCTGCGTGTCTCAGGAACTGGGGCAGAGATTTCTCTGCAGCACTGTGGAATGAGCAAGTTCAGATTCAGCCAGTGCTGTGTGGGGGTTTGTAAAGACAGCACCCCCCTCCCCTAAAAGGCTGCCAGCCCCAGGCTGCCCTATCTGTTTGGTGCCAGAGCTGAATTGTTCTGCATCTGGGCAGTGAGGCTGCCCCCACCCTGCTGGTGGCCAGTGCATTGCATTGATTCAGACATCAGAAATCCCCACGACTCTGTGTGTTTTTAATAAAGATGGTAGGAAACAGAATTCCCAGTGACGTTCTAACCTGGTTTTTCTTCTCATCTCACGCAGGGACGGATCTGTAGAAAAGCTGGCAAATCAAAAAAGTCCTTCAGTCGCAAGGAAGCTGAAGCTACCTTTAAGAGTTTGGTGAAGACGCATGAAAAATATGGTTGGGTCACCCCGCCCGTGTCCGACGGCTGATGTCTGCCACGTGCAGTAGACGCTCGAGCGCCTGTCCACACACACACCAGTACCCTGACATCTCCTCAATGCTGTGCATCCTCCACCCGTTTTTACTCCAGCCAGAACTGCATCCTGAATGCCCAGGAGACGTTTAAGTTATTTATGAAAAGATGTGTGTACAGAGAGGAAGAGGGAGCAAATGCCGTTCGGATTATGTTTCGATTATAAATGAATGATCACCTCGAAGTCACTTTAGAACACATGTTGAGATGGTGACATTTCCCAGCCTGCCTGCCCCTCTGCCCACCCCGGTCACATTGCCCTGAGCTTCTTTCCATGACAGCAGCTCCGACGAGCCGGCAGGAAACTCAATGCCCCTGCTGGCTCCATTTCCATGTAAATGGCGCCGTTCATATTTCACAGGGACGCCGTGCATCTCCGCCGTGCGTCCCCGGCACGTGTTTGCTGTGCTCTGTATCTCTGTTTTTCTTCCTGGAAGGTCAACATAACTTGAAAATGTGTCTTTCTGTGGCCCATGGTCCGCTGTGATGACATTTAGACCTCATTTGTGCTATGACCTTTGGCTCATGAAAACACAAATTTAACATTGCCAGGTTCTAGTGATTTAAAACCACAACTGCCCACTTGGTGAAAACGTGCTCTCGATGCTGATTTGTGGTGTGCTGCTGTCCACAGATAAACCAGTGCCATTAGATGGAAGGCAGAGGATACTGCGACCACCCCTGGCAGACGGTGGCGTAGACACCAGGTGCGCCCTCTGGGGCTCAGAGCAACGGATGGTCAGCTGCGAACAGTCTCGTCCGATGTTAGGAAATGGTCCTACGGCCGCGCCTTTGTGTTCCTGTCTTCTCTCCACCACCAAAAGCAAAAGATGATTTCCCATTCACTGCAGTCATCTGACTCATTTTAATATCTGTGCTAGTGACAATGAATGTCAGAACTGCCAAAGGATACCAAGTGATCATACGATGATTTGCATGATCGGGTCTATTTCACCCAATAGTCACTTGTGTGTCCCCCGAAATTGGGATGGGTGAGCACCCTTGCTGTGGTGTAAACTTCCTGTTATTTAATCTCCCCCACGGTTTCATTTTTCTCTTCTGTTAATACTTAGAACTTTCTAAGAAACTCCATGAAATGAGGAAATACTGTTTCTAATAATATGAGGAAAGAAGTAAAAATGTTCATTCCAAGTGGCAAGTCTTATTGGACACATTTTAAATAAAATCATGCATACCTGATACACTGCCTCAAGGATCCAGTCATTGTGGGCTATCCTTCCATTTAAAATATTTCAGATATTCTTAAATTTTTTAAATATTGCAAATACTACAACATGTAATTCCAGAGCAGCGTTCTAAGTCAGGTACCAGAAATGAGTCTTAGGAACCCATAGTCTTTGCAAAAATTCAGTAGATTGAAATAGTCCCCAGAAGCAGCCAAGGAGCTGAAGGGATGATTCGATCAAGTTCAGATGTTGCCAATTGTATCTTACTGCTGTGAAGGAGGAAAAGTCTTCCGGGATAATGTATTCAATTCTTCAGGCAGTTTTGTCTACTTGGGGACCTGCCCATTGGTTCAAGGTTTTCAGAGATCCAAGAGGCCTTGCCTCAAAGAACAAGGATTGGCGCCTTTCAGCAGGGCTGCCCATTCACCAAACTTATTGTTACTTTTGTTTTTCTTTACCACTTTCTTATTTGCCCCCAAGTGCACACAGGCAGCTCTGCCAGACCAAAATGACAGTGTATTAAGAATGCAGGGCCTGCTCAGCTTCCCTGTGAGTCATAATAGTCGTGAAACTTGATGACAGTGAACTTACGATGTTCATTCATCCAACCCTCTATGGTGGCATTCTCCATCCTGGAAACCTGACATTTGGCTGACGGTCTTTGGACCCTGGAGCTAGTGGTCATCATGGAATTACACTGTGGAGATGAAAGACCTAGGACAGAAACATCTTGCTAGGGAAAGCACCTGAGTTTATTCCTTTCTAAATATTTTCCTCTTCTAATGAAAACTAAAAGCAGCTTTACTTTAGGGGGAAAAATATATCCAAAGGCAGGTCATTTCAGTAGTGTTTATTAGCTGATTGAAAAACAGGTTCACGGTGCTCTCTGAGAACTGCACCAAGGGGTGCAGCCAAGAGACTGGTCTGACCCCGGGTTGGGCTGGGTGGCAGCCGGCGACAGAGCAGAGAGACACTCAGCTCAGTGTCGCTCCTTCCATACACTCAGAGTTTGATTTTTCTTGCATGGCATTTCCATTAGGTTTGTTAGAAACTTATAGAAGAAATCAATTCTTTAGTGAACGAAATACCATTTTTCACTCAATTGGTAAGAATTTTTCATTTTAAAAGCAGTAGGAAGTGATGTAAAACTCTACCATTGCTTGGACTGTTAGGAGTGCGGACTCCCTTTCTGGTAGACTCCCTTCGTAGGCAAGCACGGTGGTGCCCAGCCATGGAGGCACCCTTAGGACACTGAGCACAGGCCTGGCTGCCTGTGCCTTGGCCACAGCCTCCTTCCACCCCACTGAAGTGGACACCTGCCTCTGGAGCCCAGGGTGAGAAGGAGAGGCCTGAAGCCTGGGGCCACGTTCCCACACAAGCCAAGGAACCTATTCCTCTTTGGACAGACAGCGAGGGAATAATCAGACAGTGGGTGCAAATGTTCATGTCCCGATAGCTCCACACACCCATGTATCTGTGGGAACTCAAACCAAGCCAGAGCCCACAGAGCCAAACAAACAGAAAATCACAAACCCATCTGTCCTCTTCTCAATGCAGAACTCCTTCCCGTCCAATAATTTTCCTGAACCAATCACCCTTGTTATTGGGTATCTTCTCCACTGCTGGGTAAGGCCTGCACATGGTCTGTCTGTAACTTTCTAGAAGACTGAGAACTGCTTATGCCTTAGGGAGTTCTATGTGAGCAGCAAGGTTATTCCCCCTAGTTACACACACACGCACATGTGCCAATACTCCTGCAAAGACTTGCTGTTTCTAAAATCCACTACTCAGAAAAACCAGGGTGTCGGCTTAAAGTTTTCAGCTCCATCTATCAAAATTTGACCTTTTTTTAAGAGAAAAATATGTAGATGAGTGAAAAAGACCTAGGATTGAAAGACAAAAAGCCATGTGTCCATGTAACCCTGGCCAGTCACTCCACCTGCCTGAGCCTTGGTTTCCTCAGCTGTGAGCTCCTACCAGGTCAGTGTGGGAATTGGCCAAAATGACGCAGCAGAAGTGCTTTGGAGACTAAAGATTGTCAACGAAATGTAAGTGTCATTTTCGTAGTATTAGGACGTTTACATTACAGCAGGCTTTAATTAGAACCCACTTAGATATCGACTCAGAATGATCAATTACAGTGGTTAAAATACACATACCTGGTAATCATATACTTGCTTTCTGTCCCCAGTTCTTACATTAAGTCAACCAACTGACCCAAAAATCAACCAATAACTAACTGGCCATCTCTCCACTCACTCAGCATTCTCCTCTTAAATGCAGGGCATGCAGAAGATTAAGGTACAGCCCCTTCCCTGGATAGGAACTCAAAAGATAGGAATAGCGCACAGGCACCAGCACCAAGCAAGGCAAGTGCCAAATTGCACTGCAGAAATTAAAGACATGTGCAAGTCCAGAGATTTTCTGACTGAAAACCAGAAAGATTTCATGGAGTAAATCAGGTTTGAGCCATGGCTGGGCAAAGGGAAGGAGAAGGGCAGGTGTAGCAGGTGTAGAAATGGGAGGGGCTGAGGGCACCTTGAAAGGGAGCGTGGACTCTGTCCTCACTGGCCCTGAACGGGAGAACTGGAGTCCCCTTGCCACCTCTCACCTGCAGAGTCCCTATTCATGGAGCTGATTTCAGGAAGCAGGACACGGTCCCACCTGACAGCCTAGCCTGGCGTGTGGAGCTTGCCCTGTGTGTAGCAATTATATTTCAGTGTACCCATCCAATAGCATGCGAAATTTTAATGGAATTTGCTTTCTAAAGGGGCAGAGCTTACTTCCTGACTGTAGTGAGGGTAGAGCCACTGAATCTGGAAGACCACTTAGCCTAATTTTACACCCTCTGCAGTGAAGGAGGCGAGCCCAGAGACTTTGAGGGGCTTGTCCACAGTAGGACAGGAGCCACAAGGCCACTGCCTTACTGTGGCTTTCTGATCCTTTATGTTGCTTCATGAGACTATTAGGCAATTCATGTGGCCCTCACCAAACACACACTCTTCACCCCATCATTGAATCAGTACAGTTGCAAGTCTTCCAAGCCAGCTGAGAAACACCCACAGGATCCATTCTGTGCCCAAAGCAAATTGGAGCAAAGGGCAGAAATTCCCTCCAACTGTTTTGGGAAGCTTCTGTAAGGGGCTTGGAGCTCAGCCTATGGGACTGTAGTCAGAACTTTGTAATTTTTTTCTCCAAAGACAGTGAAATCATGTACAGCTCTGTTCTTAGTTTTCTGCTAGGTTCTACTTATCCTTCTAATTTTTGCAGCCTCTAGTTCCCATAGTATTAAATATCATTTTTAAGCCCAGGGCCTGTCTGATCCACAGAATGTGGTCAATAATCTGGAAAGGCAAACAAACTCTGTTGACATTCGGGAAAGCAATAAGTAATGTTAGTTTGGTTCCAGAAGAAACACGGGAGCAAAGTGTGCTGGCCAAACAGCAACAATCAAAGCAGAGGGGAGCAAGATTTTCTTTCAAGGTCATGATAAGGCTAGACAAATAGAGTGCAATGAGGGGGTCAGGTGCGAGGCCGTCCTCCCAGGTCAGTAAGGCCGCATGGAGGGATAAAGAGATCCCTGCACTGCCCCCAACCGCCAATTCACCCTGTGTCTCTCGCAGAATTAAAGCCAGGAGGTGGCTTTCTCTTTCCTTCTACTGGTGGTAAATTAAGTGACTGTCCTACTTTGTAGACATGCAATCGTTTTGTACCTCTAGACCTTGGGCAGTCACTGGTGATGACACTAATTGAACTAACACAGAAACTGCTGTCACCTGATGTGCTTGGTTTCATTCCTGCCTGCCTTCTCTACAACGTGACTTCATTTCATGAATGTGGTTGCCATTATGACAGTGCTAGGATGCTGATCTGTACACCATGAGTGACTGCGAACTTTCAGACTCTCACCGCAATTCATGGGGAGACTTTGGTGTATCCTGTTTCCAGAGTTGTCCTCTTCTGTGATCCTCAAAAGAAGAGAAAAAAACGCATGTGGCATAAATCAACAGGAAAGAAATGTTTACCACTGGAAGATGGTGAGTGCATGAGTCAAATAATCTAGAGGCACTGCCCTAATGAGAAAAAAAAAACAATGATTCTAGAAAATAAAACTTTAAAACCAATAAACGTCTTTACACGGAATGCTTGCTGTGTCCTCGCATGGTCTGTGTTCAGTAATTCTCAGGATTTATCTGGGTCTCCACATGTGTTCTCCCCACGGGCCATGGTGAGTGACTTTCTGTCACTTGGCACCCTCTGATCTTGTGTCCCTTGACTCATTCGTGGTTTGCCAAATGAAAACCTTGAAGTATATCATGCGTATTCTCCACAAAAATCAATGAAATGTAACTGAACCAAATCTAATTAATCTAATCAGTGTGATTTAGATTTCTCCTTCAGCTGCCATTTGCATTATAAAGATGCTTAAACATTATTGACAAAGATTTCCATTAAAGTTTCTCAATATAAGTGAAATAGTGTGCTTAGCACAAAACTGTAGCCTAAACTACTACTGAACTATAGAGCTATTTCTTTGGAGAACTTACAGAGTAACAATTCTGGAAAATGACAATTTTCAAGTGCCCTAAGCACAATTTATCGAAGAGGTACTTCAGCTCACTTTTCATACTAACATGTATGTTGGTATTCAGTTTTTGTTTTAAGCTGTTTACCCGAGGAATTTCTCAGCCCTAGTCAATATTCAAGATCATTTTCTAATCAAGAGAGTATTTTTTAAAATCTCAAAATGTGGCTATTTTAGTACTGAACAGGGCTGGGCTGTTGATCAGATCAGAAAACCACGCCTCTTATCACATGTAGATAAGGCACTCAGCCTTACACCCAGACACTTGGCTTGCACCTTCCAAACTGAAATTCTGCAGTGCATGTCTACTGCTGAGGGCTGTAGTGACAAGACAGGAAATGTGTGGGAAGCAAGAGCCCAGGGCCTGATGTGTAACTAGAACTCAGTACATTATTGTACAAATAACAGTGAGATTGATTTGACACAGTCAAGTTGACCACTTGAGTTGGCTGTTGGGATCCACTTTCAGGCTGTTCATTTCATCCAGGTGAATTTGCATCCTTTCCTTTGGGTGAAAGCATGAAAGATACACCGTCAATAGGGCATTGACTCTGAACTTGTGGGGTGATGGAGATGGAAGTGTGCCAAATCACAAACTCTCCCCAGAGTGCATCCAGCCTCAGCTGTGTCAGAGAGTTATAGGCAGTGGTCTGGGTGATCTGTGTCCAGGGACGTATTTTTCTTAAGGCCAAAGTAAAAGGCCCAGCAGGATTGAACAGAGCCCTGGCCTTTCACGTTGACAATTCAAGGTGTGTTCTGTGTCAGTAGGATAGGTGCAGGGCAGAGCTATATAAAATTCATGCTCTCCAGCTCTTCTTTGCCACTTAGGTGTTTGTCTTAAGAGAGGTCTTGATATGGTTTGGCTCTGTGTCCCCACCTAAATCTCTCTTGAATTATAATAATCCCGACATGTCAAGGGCAGGACCTGGTGGAGATAATGGAATCATGGAGGCAGTTTCCCCCATGCTGTTCTCATGATAATGAGTGAGTTCTTATGAGATCTGATGGTTTTAAAAGGGGCTTCTCCCTTCATTTGGCACTCATTCTCTCTCCTGCCACCCTATGAAGAGATGCCTTCCACCATGATTGTAAGTTTCCTGAGGCCTCCCCAGACATGTGGAACTGTGAGTCAATTAATCCTCTTTTCTTTATAAATTACCCAATCTTGGGTATTTCCTCATAGCAGCATGAGAATGGACTATTGCAGGTCTATTTCCATGCCAGAATAAATGTTATTGGAAACAAGTTATTTTTATTTAAACAAGGGGAAATGATAGAGATATTAAAGTAGACATACATACAAACCGCTTGACAAAATGAAGTTGAAATAGTTCAAGTTTCGTTTGTTCAACCTTCGAGTGTCGGGATTATGTATAACTGTACAGCAGTGAGCCAGGATACCAGCAACAAGGTCAGGATACGGTGAGTTTTGAAAGTACAATTTTTTTTAAACCCATTACAGATTATTTTTTGAGTCATTAAAGGTTTTCATATAATAATTTTGAAGGTAAAATCCAATGGAATAATTATAAGCAGCATGAATAAACTTTCCCATAGGAAAACATCCTTTTTTTCTTTTCCTACATTTGCAAAGTTTTTAATTTCTCAAAGACCTTTTAGAACTATCTTCTCATTTCATCTCTAGGCAACACTGAGAAGCAGATTTAGTAGGCAATAGTGTGCAGCTTATAGATCAGAAGCAGGCATTAAGTATAATTGATTTTTCTAATCTGATTTTACTTAAATATGGTCAATTACTTTCCTGTGTCACTACAACATTACATTAAGTCAATACTAAAACAACTTTTAAGTCTCTAACTCCAAGGATGTTTCTAGCTACAACTTTGCAGTTGTATCATTTAAACCTCTTTTAAATGCTTCCCATAATTTTGCATTAGATCGTGTTCCTCGCCTTTACCAAATGCTGTGTATATTCCCACACATGTGCTTGGTTTCATTCCTGCCTGCCTTCTCTACAATGTGACTTCATTTCATGAATGTGGTTGCCATTACGACAATGCTAGGATGCTGATCTGTATACCTTGAGTCACTGCGAACTTTCAGACTCTCACTGCAATTCATGGGGAGTTTTAAACCCCCATTAATTACATAAACTTGATTTATGTAATCTTATTCTCATTGTTTCAAGGGTTTTCTTCTCACTTTACTCTAGTTTCTACATGTTATGGTGTTGCTTTTCCATAAAACATGCCAATTTCCAAAACAGCATACAGTTCCTTATAACACTGCCTCCTTTGTTCTCCTCCTTTTCTGTGCTCCTGATTCTCCTGGGGGGCCTCCTTTCTTGCCTGCCGGGGATCTTGTGTCCCTGTCTGATGTCCTCAGAGCCCTGGACCTCATGGCATCCAAGGTTCAGACCTTCTCATATTCAAATGGGAATAGAAGCTGCTTTTGGTAAGTGATATTTTGGAGCTTGTTAAAATTTACTCTAGAAAGATAGCATCAAAAATTAAAGCAAAGCATATGACTTATAATTTTCGTGCCAATTATTTACTTAATAAATAAATGGAAAGGGCCTCAGGGATTCTTAGGATCAACTCCGTGATTTAATTTGGTTCTGTCTGCCCTAGGCTCAGTCCTCAGCTCAGAGCCTGTTCAAACACACTTCCATGCCTTCACGTAGAGGGGTTTAAAACTAGCCTAGTCCAATGACTTCTTAGAGTGAAAGGATTCTTTATGAGAAGGGAAGTATAACCCAGAGACCCCATTTTCTGAAAGATTGTTTTAAGGCACAGGAAGTTAAATTCAGAGTCTGGGGGCTTCATCGTAGTGTATTACGATGCTGGGACCAGACACGGGGGCCTTGAGACTTCAGTCATGCTGCCTGAGAAATATAAAGTGTATCTGCCCACACATGCATAGGATGAATCCAGGAGTGCGGCACTGCCTTGGAACATGGAGAAAGAAAATAGAAGAAACCAACCCTGGCAGTGTCTTGATTAGGACTTCTGACCTCAAGAACCATGAGAATAAATTTCTGGGTTTGTTTTTTTGTTTGTTTGTTTTTTGTTTTTTAATTTGAGATGGAGTCTCACTCTGTTGCCTGGCTGGAGTGCAGTGGCGCGATCTCAGCTCACTGCAGGCTCCGCCTCCCAGGTTCAAGTGATTCTTCTGCCTCAGCCTCCCAAGTAGCTGGGACTACAGGCACATGCCACCACACCCCGCTAATTTTTTTGTATTTTTAGGAAAGATGGGGTTTCACCATGTTGGCCAGGATGGTGACTCAGCCTCCCAAAGTGCTGGGATTACAGGCATGAGCCACTGTGCCCGGCCAAATTTCTGTTGTTTTAAGCCACCAGATTTGTGTTAATTTGTTAATGCAGCCCTAGGAAAAGAATATAGGTAGAGATAGATGGATATAGATGTAGATATAGAAATAGATACATACATACCTCCCAAGTTTATACTCTTATGAATGATCCCCCCAAAAGAGAAAAGAATTTCTTCAATTGGGTAAGATTTACTCACTTCAGGCTATATTAGGGCACATAATTTTGTAATCTAACAATGGAGGACACATAGTTGTTTAAAATCTGATTTTGTTAATCAGCCACCCAAATTAGAACCACTAGCAACTATATACGGGTCACAGCAATAGTGTAGGTCATTGTCAGTGGGCCAGAGGATTCCTTACAAAATACAACACACCATTTCAAAAACACCACTGAAACCCACATCTTTTCAAATAATGTCAATTCCCACATAAGTTCTAAGCACTAACCTCCAGGGGTGCCAACGTCCCACCCCTCATAGTGAAGGAATACCAATAATGGTCAAGAGAAGAAGTGGATTATTTTGGGGCCAGGTTGCTATAGTGTGAAGCTTTGCAGGTAGGGGACAAATAGATTAAAAGCATGGGCTTCTGAATGAGAGTTTTCTGTTGACTCAGTTTCCTGGAAGTTTCCAGCTCATTTGGTTGTCACTTTGGATTTCTCCCTCTTTTTGAACTTACTTTAATTTAGTCTTCTCCCATAGGGCTGGTGAAGTGCAAAGGACTTGGGTGGAAAATGTCAGACAGAAACCAAGTGGAATGCAGAGGATGGACGGATGAGTGATTGGGTGGATGGGTTGGATGAACTGATGAATGAATGGATAGATGGATGGATGGACTGGGTGACTGGATGGATGGATGGATGGATGGATGGATGGATGGATGGATGGATGGATATACAGATGATCAGATAAATGGATGGATAGATAAATGGATGGATGGATGGATGGATGGATGGGTGGATGGATGGATGGGTGGATGGATGGATGGATGGATATACAGATGATCAGATAAATGGATGGATAGATAAATGGATGGATGGATGGATGGATGGATGGATGGATGGATGGATGGATGGATGGAAAAATGGTTGGATGTAATGAATGGATAGATGTTGGATGGATGGATAGATAAATGAATAAATAGATTAGATAGTGGATGGTGAATGATTCAGGCCTGCCCTATGGCCCTTACATGGAAATATTTTCTCCCTTGACATTTTTTCTAGGCAAGGTTGTTTCTCCCATAGGGGCTTAGGTTAGACTATGGGGACCCAGGAAAGGAGCCTAAAGAAGCAGTTCATTCTGCTTCTTAGCACCAAAGGCCAGAGGCACACAAAGAGTTCTCCTTCTTTACAGAAGACACAGTTCCCCGCAATCCACCACCAGCGCTCAGCGTTCCTCTGAGCCCAGTGGGGCAAAGCTCAGGCCAGGAACACAGCTTTTACCTGCCAGAGTGTCCACCAGGCAGATATCGCCCTCAGGTGTCCAGGTGGTCTAGATCAGAATTTAGGCTCGAGTCCCATCCACCACATGTTAATCACGCAGGACCTCACAGATAAGAGTGTAAGTAAGAAATCCTCAGGCATATGGAAAGTTTGCTCCTCGTTTCCTGCCATGTCAAAATAACAAATGCAAAGCAGAAATTGCTAGATAATATACTTCTATGCCCATTAATTCACTATGTTTTATTTATATTTATTCTTGTTCTTTTGGTAAGACCTTCAATGCATCCTTAGTGTCTATTATAACAGAGTTTGGAATTTTTATTTTTTATGCTGCTTCTACTGCCTTTCAGACATAATTCACGAGCACAGAGAATAATATCCTGTACTATGTCCCAGGGAATTGCTCCCTAAGTCCCTAAGATCCTGGACAGAAGGCAGCAAGTTAAAACTCGATGTTTTTCCTGGCTTTTTCCAAACTATCCGCCTTCAGAGAAGCCTTTCAGAGGCCTTTGGCACTTGGCAGTCTGAAGTGGTCCTGTCCCTGTAGGATGCTCTGGACTGTATGTGCAAGTGTGTGGGAGGTTGTGGGCTGGATTCATTACCTTTATTCCCAATCCTCATCAGGCCAGGGCTAAATGAAACACAGAGTCATGCATGTTTCATGGGAAATGGGTGGCGTCTGGCCTCTGTTGCCCTCTGTATCAAAGCATCCTGCAGGGAAAGGACCACTTCAGACAGGGCTGCAGGTCATGGAGCGGCCGGGCATTGGGATTGGGAGCCCCTGCCAGACACTAGACTCAGAGCTGGACACCCATGGTCCCATTTACATTCATCTGATGTCATGTTAGTGTCAGCATTTGAGGGAATGTTAGTGTTCACAGTTCAGGGAAAAGAGACACCAAAGAGCTGAAGCGACCCCCCCACAGCCACACTCTGATGAGCAGAATCGAGTATAGAATAAATTCCGCAGGATTCCTCCTTCGTAGGTGGCAGATTATTGGATTCACTGAAAGCCATCCCTTTGAGTTTCTATCTTTCTGAAAATTCAAGTGCCAAGGCCTTAGTGCTGTCAATACTTTGTCCCACTGGGAGGAAAGAGCAAAGGTCCCAGCAGTGCATGGGTGCTGGGCTTCAGGTGAGGAAGGAAAGGAGCTAGGAAGAAATCAGAAGCTTGCAAAGAAGAGCAAGGAAAAAAGTCCCTGCAGGTAAGCCAGTCACACTTGGAGGTGACCTCCCCAATGAGTCACAACCACATCATCCCCTGCCCTGAAGTGGGGAAACCAATAGAATACGGCAAAGGGAATGGGATATCACCCCATGATTATGTTACATTATATGGCAAAGATGAAGAGGTTTTTGAAGATGTAATTAAGGGCCCTAATCAGTTGAGTTCCAGTTATTGAAAGGGAGATTAACTTGGGTGGATCTGACCTAATCAGCTGAGCCCTTAAATGCGAGCCTAGGCTATCTCTGAAAAGAAAGATCCTCCTGAAGGCCTTGAAATAAGATGCCAAATTGTGAGGGGGCTACAGGGGAGGGCACTGTACGTGCCTCTTGGAGCTAAAAGTGGCCCCTGCTGACAGCCCACAGTAGACAGGGACCTCGGTCCTTCTGCTGCAAGGGTCTAAATTCTGCTAACAACCTCCTAAGCCTGGAAGACCCCCAACACCCAGAAAGAGACATAGCCCAGCCAACTCCTCGACTGCAAATTTGTGAGGCCTTGCATAAGGGACCAAGCTAGGCCATGTGCCTGGACTCTCAACCTATGCAAATTGGGAGATAATAAATAGATGGGTTTTTTAAAACAATTGGGTGGTTTTTTGTTTGAATATTATTATTATTTCAATGGTTTTTGGGGAGCAGGTGGCGCTTGGTTACAAGGATAAGTTCTTTAGTGGTGATTTCTGAGATTTTGGTGCACCCATCACCCGAGCAGTGTACACTGTACCCAATGTGTAGTCTTTTATCCCTCACCCCCTCCCCCACACTTTCCCCCAAGTCCCCAGAGTCCATTATGTCATTCTTATGCCTTTAGGTCCTTACAGCTTAGCTTCCACTTAAAAGTGAGAACATAGAATATTTGGCTTTCCATTCCTGAGTTACTTCACTCAGAATAATGGTCTCCAACTCCACCCAGGTTGATAATGAATAGACGTTTTTTTCAATTGCTAAATTCATAGTAATTTATTATGCAGCCACTAATGTACCTGGCAAAGCTCACATTTTTGCCCTGGTCTGCCCCTACCCTGAGACATTAAGCTCAGCAATGAAAAGGTGGCTCTGGTAGAGTTCAGAGGGCTTGTCCTTGTCCAGCTATTTAGACGTGGTTACCAGTGTGCCCTTGGGCATTTTATTTATGTCCTGGGCTATCATAACAGATGGTCACAAACTGGGTCAATGAAAACAACAGAAATTTATTCTTTCTCAGTTCCAGAGGCCAGAAGTCCAAGATCACAGTGTTGGCTGGGCCATGCTCCCTCCAAAAGCTCTAGGTGAAGACCCTCCCTTGCCTCCTCCAGTGTCTGGTGGCCCCGGGCGCTCCCTGGCTTGTGGCTGCCTCACTCTAGTCTCTACCTCCATCTTCACGTGGCCTTCTCCTCTCCTAGCCTCTTCTGTCTGTGTCAAATCTCCCTCTGCCTTCCTCTTATAAGGGCACTTGTCATGGGATTCAATGGCAGCTGAATTGAATTC